>NC_000023.11:144778636-145081666 GCF_000001405.40 Homo sapiens | reverse complement strand
GTAATGTGAACCACATATGCAAATTTAAAATCTTTAGTAGCCACATTAAATATTAAAAAGAAATGAATAAAATTCATTTTAACAATAGATTTTATTGAACACATTTTCATTTCAAAATGTAATCAATATGAAAAGTCATATTAGTGACACATTTTGCATTTATTCTTACTTGGCCTTTGAAATCCAATGTGTGTTTTATATTTATAGAACATGGAAATTTGGACTAGCCACATTTCAAGTGCTCGTGGCTACTGTATTACACAGTGATGATCTAGAAAAATGGTATAATATGGCTTTTATAAATTATTAAGGGAAAGCTATCTCTAGTATTGCCATGCCAAACAGGTCACTAGTGGGGAAATGCACTGATCTGAATAAAAAACCCAGGCTGGCTGGTGGAGCAAAGATTTCTAGTCCAGCTTTCAGTCCCCAAGATTCGAACTTTAGGGGGATGCGTCAGGATGGACAAAAGTGGCTGAGTTGGGACCTATATGCAGATAATTGCAATATGGAGTAGTTTTGTGAAAGTAACATTTGCCAGACGTGATGCTATTGCACACTTAAAATGCACTCAGTTCAATAAATTTGGTTTGTTGATTATTTGATTATAATTTCACAGTATCTGTGAGAAGCTTTTTTTTTCATTTTCATTTTTATTTTTTGCTTGTTATGGTTTGAATGTCCCCTCTAAAACTCACACTGAAACTTGGTCCCCAACGCAGTAATGTTGACAAGTGAGGCCTTTAACAGGTAATTGTATTGTGAGGGCTGTGCCCTAATGAATAAATCAATCTATTCCTAGAATAATGGATTCATGAATTAATGAGTTAATGAGTTTTCATGAGAGGAGAACTGATAGCTTCATAGGAAGGAGAGAGGCCTGCGCTAGCACGTGGCACACTTAGCCCTATTACTACGTGAAGAAACCACCTCAGGTCTCTTCACAGAGTACCCCCCAGCAAGAATGATCTTCCCATATACGGCCCCTTGACTTGAGACATCTCAGCCTACATAACTGTAATAAATAAATTCCTTTCCTTATAAATTACTCAGCTTCAAGTATTCTTTAATAAGCAACATAAAATGAACTAATACAAGGTCGTAGACAAAGGATAAGAGCATGATTTTTCATTTTCTTGGTATCGTTGGGGTGTCTCCTGGATTAGGTGTGAATGACTGGAATCATTATGATGCAGGGAATGCATTGCATAAAATTTGTCCACAGTTTTCCATAAACTCAGAAGTGGCTCTTATGAGTTTCAGTTTCTCTAGATCAATCAATCAATATATAGAAAGAAAGAAAAATAAAGTTAGAAAGTTAGAAAGAAAGAAAGAAACAGAAAGAAAGAAAGAAAGAAACAGAAAGAAAGAAGGAAAGAAAGAAAGAAGGAAGGAAGGAAGGAAGGAAGGAAGGAAGGAAGGAAGGAAGGAAGGAAGGAAGGAAGGAAGCAAAGGAAAGGAAAAAAGAAAGGAAGGGAGAGAGAAAAGGAGTCTGTGAAGCTCTGGCAGATGTAGACGGCCCTATGCTCTTTATTTTATAGTAATGGCCCTTAGGCCTTTGCTCAGCAACTTTTCCTTCTTAAGTTTAAATGCCAACATATTATAAGAGTAATGATGATAATGTTACCCTCTGTTTATATTTCATTTTCATTTTCAAAGTCACTTTCACATATATTATTTTGATTTCCATGAACTATTTGCAAGTTAAAGAAAGCAATTCATCCCTACTGCCCCCATGGTATTTAACCCTGATAAAATAAGCTCTGGTTCCTGAGCCTTACTCCTCTTGCCCTGTAATGTGAATAATGTCACTTTTCTCATATAATTGTTAGATTAAATAAGAGGACATATTTAAAATGCATTGCATAATGTATGTGATCATTAGCTGTTAGTTACTCTCATGGATAGAAACTTAACTTAAAAATTTAGCAAACTGTATGGCCAGTTTTAGACATATTGCAACCAAACACGTAAACATTTTGTCAGATAAAATCATGCTCTCATAAAGCTAGAAGGATCTAAGATTCAATTCATTGGGAAGCTGCAGTGTACCAGACACTGTGCTAGGCACAGATGATCTAATCCACACTTAAACAGACTGAAGCTGAGGAGAGGAAGTGCTTTGTTCAAGGTCACATGGTTAATGTATAATGACAGTGTCATGAAAATATAAGTTTTTAAAGTAAGCACAAACACTTTTCAAGAGACTACTTTCATCCCTTCTTCGAAACTCATAATAATTTTGTGATTTAGCTTGGGTATCTACAGAAACAGCACACTACGGGCAACCTTAATGGTATATGAGTCAGGTATACTGACAACAGTAGTGACAGTTGACATCCTGGGCTTAAGGGGAGAAAGCCAAAACAGTACATTCCTGTGGTCCATGACAATATCTCATGTTCACAATGATGACACCGATTCTTCCAAAAATAGAGTTGAACATATTAAAAAAACAAAACAAAAACAAAAACCAAAAAAACCCTTTTTGAACTTTTTTGAAAAGCTCAAAAAATTTTCATCAAAATCGTTAAAATGAAACTAGAAAAGATATTAGGCAATAAATGATTTTCAAAAGTGTTCCTTACAGAGGGGGCTCAGAGGCCACTGACTACAAATTTCATATAAGGTTTCATTTAACAATAGATAGATAGATAGATTAGATAGATAGATAGATAGATAGATAGATAGACATAGAGATACAACTCTATTTGTATCTCAACACTAATGTTGTTCAACCACTTTCTGTTGTCAAATGTGGAAACTTAGGCCTGGTTGTAGCTGCCCTTCAAGTCTTCTCCCATCTTGTTTCCCTGGGTCCAGTAGGCTAGAATACTAAACCAGGTTCTAGCATATCACTAGGCTGCACACACTGCTAAGCTAAGCCAAGGAGATCACCCTATTCTAGGAATTGAAATCTCACACACAGATATACGGAGACTAAGAATGTTTTGACCCACATCATCTGACAGCAGTTCCCTAAAGATGGAGTTCATGAGTTTCTTTTGCTGTAATCTCTAGAGCTACTCTGGTTCCTGTCCTTCCTGAGATTTGCTTATCTAGTTCTTTTCATTTAGTGAGTTAACCCAATACCCTCTCAATACATCACCTTGGTTGCTTAAATTAGTCAGATTATGTATCTTCTGTTGGCAACAAAGCTGCTTAAGGAAAACCTTGGGGAAGAAAAGTTATTTGCTCAAAGTCAGACAGTGAATGGCAAAAACTTGAAAAAATGATAGTCTCCTGATTCTCAATCTGGTCTGTAGAGCTAGATGCCCCACCTCCCATGTGGAACTCCTCATTCTGTAATGCTTCTGAGTGAATGTGGCATTACTGTATCAGACCAACACAAAATTGAGGGTTAAAATTGAGAAAGGGCTTTTCGGTCCCTGAGCTCAAAACATACCTACATAACATACGCCATTTGTATGGTACTTTCTCTCCATGACTTGCTCAAAGATCAAAGGTCCAGAAATTAAAAAGCTGGATTGCTGTCTTGGTTTTGGCACACTAAACCTGACAGCATCTTCCTATCTGAAGAAAGGATAACTGTGCTTCAGCTCATGTTAGTCAGGATCATCTAGGCTTTGCTCTAGTAACAAAAACAAATCCTGAAATTTGATGGATTAACACATGGAAGTATTTTCATTTACATATAAGTCTGCTGGTCAGTCCACTATGTGGACCAATTCCCTTCCAAGAGTGACTCAGAAATCCAGCTTTTCCTCATCTTGTAGCACTGCTATTTCAACAGGAGGCATCTATGGTGACAGTGAGGGTTAAAATAAAGGAAGGCTTTTCACCTTCTCAGTTCAAAAAATGACAATGCACTTTACTTCTGCTTACGGCACTGGTTTACCTAGAATACTCAATATCTGAACTGGATAATTTTGTAATGCTTTCCTCCTCTATATGACACAATTATTTTCCGTAATAATCATTACATAAACTAAATAATGATCAGAAAAGTTCAAACTTTTGCTTTCATATGAAGCCTGTAAAAACTAAAAGATTAAAAATAAAATATTTTAGTGAAAAAAATAAAAAAGTAATAGATTAATGCTTCATATTTATAAAAAGGTCATTTTTGATAGCAGGGAGAAATTATACCTACATATTGGTAGGACACAGTAATAAATAACAATGGTATTACTGTTTCTGATTTTAATATTTCTGCTAATTTGTCAGATTCATCAAAATCAACCTCATATTCATGTTCGCTTAGAGTCAATTGAAAAATACTTTTTATTAGCTTTAATTTTAAAATGTTTCTTTTCTATGAAACGGATTTACAAATAATTAGGAAACATTATACATAAGGATAAGTTTGATAGAGATTCATCAAATACAGCTTCAAAATAAATTCTACAAATTACAGTACTGTCCATGTCTTTGTTTCTTTAGGATTTCTTTCAGAGGCCTTCAAGTTTCTCTGCAGTTAAAGCAAAATTTAAACACAAATTAAAATGCTGAGTGGTTGTATAGAAAGAAAGGTTTATGGTAACTCACGTCTAAGTCTTTGTCTTCATGATCCCTATGCTATCATGGTTTATTTTGTATCTACTGGAGGGATATATAGTATCCCAGGAGTTGGAGATGAGAACTACGTTCCAAGGAGCTCAAATGATTCCAAACTCTGACAAACTTACCCTTAAAGGAAACTTGTGTAGCTGAGTGTGTCTTGGAAATGACTTTATCCCTGGTAGTTCTCCAAATTCACTTTCATATAGAATATAGTATTTCTTTTTTTTTAATACTTTAAGTTTTAGGGTACATGTGCACAACGTGCAGGTTAGTTACATATGTATACATGTGCCATGTTGGTGTGCTGCACCCATTAACTCGTCATTTAACATTAGGTATATCTCCCAATGCTATTCCTCCCACCTCCCCCCACCCCACAACAGGCCCCGGTGTGTGATGTTCCCCTTCCTGTGTCCATGTGTTCTCATTGTTCATTTCCCACCTATGAGTGAGAACATGTGGTGTTTCGTTTTTTGTCCTTGTGAGAATATAGTATTCCTTAAAGCAGGGGTCCCCAACCCCTGGGTCATGGACAGATATCAGTTCGTGGTTTGTTAGGAACTGGGCTGCTCAGCAGGAGATGAGCGGCACGTGAGCGAGCAAAGCTTCACCTGCATTCACAGCCTCTCCCCATCACTCACATTAGCGCCTGAGCTCCACCTCGTGTCAGATCAGCGGCAGCAATAGATTCTCATAGGAGTGCGAACCGTATTGTGAACTGCGCATGCGAGGGATCTAGGTTGCTGGCTCCTTATCAGAATCTAAATGTCTGATGGTCTGTCACTGTCTCCCATCACCCCCAGATGGGACTGTCTAGTCGCAGGAAAACAAGCTCAACGCTCCCACTGATTCTACATTATGGTGAGTTGTATCGTAATGCCATTATATATTACAATGTAATAATAATAGAAATAAAGTGCAAAATAAATGTAACGCACTTGAATCATCTCAAAACCATCCCCCAACCCCCAGTCCGGGAAAAAATTGTCTTCCACGAAAATGGTCCCTGGTGCCGAAAAGGTTGGGAAACACTGTTTTAAGGGATTAGTAATAGCAAAGTGCTAAGTTGAGATGTAGAGATATATGATTAAAACTCAACAGTAACCACGGCAATTACTTTGAACGTAGACTGCCAAAATATACAGTGTGTGTGCATATATATATATGTGTGTGTGTGCCTGTGTGCGTGTGTATTAAGGAAGGAATAATATATCACTGATACTTTATCGAATTGCCAAAATGAGGTGGGAATAGGTTGGTTTTAAATTCTCTACAGACTACCTTATTATATGTGCCCTGGGGTTGCTACAACAGTGGCTCACAATTCATTGGTGAGAACTAGTCACTCAACTTTCCTCAGCTGCAGGAGGTCTGGGAAGTGTGGGGCGCTACGAATTTTAAGTGCTCAAGCCATGCTAGCCAACTCTGTGCCCCAGGTTCTGCAGTATGTTTCCAAGTGTGTGTGTGTAGAAACGCTTCTGGCAATAGGGGGTCAGATTCTATTGGGCCTGGTAGAGATCAAGAGAAGAGATACACGTACGTTAATGAAAAAGTTTTCCTACATAAGGCCAGAGGTTATTGTTCAGAGAGGTTTCAGTAAGAACACTGCATAATTCATAGCTTTGGTACAGAGGGATTAATTTTCTGATTGTTTTCAAGGCCTCCTTCTATTCTCAGAATTCAGTGCTATCTTCTGGGGTTTGGCTACAACCCAGATTAACCTAATCCTTGGTCAGAAGAGATACAATTGGGAAAATATACAGTAATGGAGTATTTTCAAAAAATGCTTGCTAAGAATCACCTGGGACAACCTGTTAACTATACACATTACCAGATCTTTCTCCAGGAAATTCTACTTCAGTAGTTCTGGGTTAGGCCCCAGGACTCGGTGTGTAGAACAAGTATACCAGGTGATTATTATCTTCAGATGATTTTGGAGAACACTGTGCTAGTTAGAAGAGTAGAGTCTCTGTAGTGGGGGGGGAAAAAAAACAAAACCCTGGGTTTGACTATCTGTTTAAAGGAAAATTTGAGTTTCCCTGAGTCAAGAGCAATTTTTAGCCGTCTGGTCCTCACAGCTTCATGCCTGATCAAAGGCAGACCCAGCACTCTTCAGTTACTGTTCTGGCTCATCTGGTCAATGTGGTTACTGGCCTCAAGGGGAACAAATGTAGCAGGTGACAGAATGAATTGTCTTGGTTGCTTGTGGGGATAGGTAGGACGATAGAGACATATAAGGCAGGGGTTTTCAACATATTCGGGGGAAGATGCATTGTAGTTTAAAGGAGATTTTCAGGTGCTTTTAGATGCGTTCCACAAGTACTCAATCAGTGTATTTCAATGTTGGTCCCATACAGAATCAGAGAGTAAGGGTAGTTTTAAAAAAATAATGATGCCTAGATCTCAACCCCAGAGATTCTAATTTAATTGCTCTTGGATATGGCGTGGGCACTGGGATTATTTTTAAGCTCCCAAGGTGATTTTAATGCTCATTCAATGTTTAGAACTGCTCCCTTAGATTGAAAAACCAATGATCAATGACTTCCACCTGGCAGGTAGTGGTTAGGGTTTTTCCTTTACACGGAGAGGCATGCAACTGGTAAATGGAAGCAGTAGGAAATGTAGTCAAAGTTTACCTTGGAACCAGGGTAGACTGGCAGTAAACTGTGAAGTTTCAGGTTTGCATATAGAGATCAGGTCTGCGTTACAGACTCTGAGAAATCTTGAGATAAAAAGACTTTCAAAGATGCCTGGCACAGAGAAGATGATCAATGCAAAATGAGTGAATGGCACCTGTGCAATCTGACACCTGGATGAACTGGAGTATTTGAAAGTGAGCAGAAGAGGGCACTCTAAAACGGGTCATATTGCCGCAGGATCCCTAAGTATGTATGAGGTGGGGGCTTGATATGAGAATAAGGCAAGAGCCCAAATTGTAAAACCAGATTTTATCAGTTTAGATAATGTGGATGCAAGTAATAGAATACCCATCTAAAAGTAGCTTAAACAGTAAGAGTATATTAATCTCATACTGGAATTTTGGAGGTAGGCAGCTCCACATTAATTCATCTCAATGATCTCAGGGCTGTAGACCGGCTTGTCTGTTCCGTGATTCTATTTGCTTAACCTTTACGGTCACGAGATGCATGCCATATCTCTAAGTTTTGTGTCTTTGAAAAACTGCCTACAAGAGCACAAGAAAGAAGTTGAATCTGAACTGGTGTCTTCAGAAAAAAATGAGAAAAACAATTCTTTTCTAGAACACTCTGCACCCTACTCACCAACAGACTCCCCTCATGCTTCATTGGCCGTGCCAACCTCTACATTAATTACCGTCAAAAAGGTACGGAGCTACCATGATTGTCTTAGATTATTGTTCATTCCCTGGGACCTGTACTTTGCCATTTCATATTTTCTGTTGGAAAGGAAGGGGGAGAACATCGAGGGGACTTGCACTACCCAGTCGATTTGAAACTGAGCTTATAACATCAGGATGTAACCCTCTTTGTATTTTCTTAGCCTGGGAATGGTTTGATCTTGGGATCTGGATTACTTTGCTCATGAATGATGACTGGGGTGGCCTTAGCAAGGAAGCAAGCCAGTTATTGCAGAGTGTTGGATACTGAGTTTTGTTATTAGTTTGCACAACTGCTGACTAGAGGGCAGATGCATGTGTATTATTAACAAAGAGTGACAAAAGACATGCATGCTCTCATATACAAAGAGACGACAGAAAATGATTCAGCCAGCTGGAAGGTATTATTTTAATGGCCACCAGTTAAAGGATGGTTAGGCTGGAAACCTGCCAAGTTGTATTTTCATTTTTTCTCTCTTTCTCTCTCTGTCTCTCTCTCACTCACCCTTGCAAGCACACAGAGCTTTGAGAGGGCACTTGATCTTGTTCTTGTTTGGAGATGCTTATTGACATATGTAGGGACTTATTGAGGTCAAACAATTCCTCATTTGTATACATTTGCTCCTTTTGCCCCACTCTGCATAAATTTCATATGCTTCTGAGAATCCCATCTTGGTGAGTAAATTCTAGAGAAGCCTGTCTCCTGTCCGAGGAAACCAGCTACCCAGCCTGAAGCAGATTGTCTTATATATTTGATGTAAAAAAGAATAGAAATTATGCACTGCGGTTTTATATGGCAGTACTAGGAGCTTATTGCTGGTAACAATATCAACACATTGCGTGAGTCTTCTAGTGAATGTTTTTATTAATCCGATAGGTGACTATTGTCTGGTATTGCTTCTTTGATGAATTTGCTGATTGCAGTGCAATGAAACCTTCTCAGATGAAACATGAGTGAACTCTAGCAATTTACTATTAATGAGCACCTATAGATGAATATCTGTTATGATAACCATATCTCCTAGAGTCATATTTTTCATTACAATTGCCAATAATTATTATAATAATTACAATAGCTAACACAAAATGCTTTCCTATATTCTGGGCACATTTGTAATATGTTTATTCACCTTGACTTAATCTTCACAGCAATGCTATATGTACTAATGTTATCCCGATATTACAGGTGAGAAATCTGAGGTTTAGAAAGATTAAGTAATTAGGTAATTGAACACAGATATTAAAAACAGAGTCTGTGTTAAAATCCAAACTGTCAAATGTTAAAATTAATATATTTGCTCATTCTGCTATAACAGCAAACATTTTGGAACCATGTCATGTAAGTAGCAGGATTAGTGGAACTGTTTTGTTCCTCATTTTAATGGGACTGTCTATAATACAATGTTTCACATGTTTCACATAGAAGTTTGATATTGGCTGTGATTTATCATGTTAAATAGGTACCCTTTAATTTCTAATTTGTTAAACATTTTGTGAGGAATAAATTTTAATATGACCAAAAACATTTTCTGTATTTAATGAGAAGGTTGTCTCATCTTTTATTTTTTTCTAGTGATGCAATTAATTATATTGATAAAATTTCAAATATTAAGTAATCCTTGCATTTCAGGGATTTGAAAAACATTTTAATGCAAATCAAAACCACAGAGAGTTGTCACCTTGTGCCTGTAAGGATGGTTATTAAACAAAGTATAGCAAGTATTGGAGAGGATGTGGAGAAATTGGAACCCTTGTTACACTGTTAGAATGTAAAGTGGTATAGCTGTTATGGAAAACAGTATAGAGGTTCCTAAAAAATTTCAAAATAGAGCTACCATGTGATACAGCAATCCTATTTCTCAGTGTTTATTCAAAATAAATGAAATCAGGATCTCAAAGAGATATACACACTGCAATATATATTGCAGCATTATTTAAAATAGCCATGATATGGAGGTAACCTAAGTGTCTATCAATGGATGAATGGATAAAGAAAATGTGGTATGTACATACAATGTAATACTACTCAACCTTAAAAAAGAAATCCTGGCCGGGCGCGGTGGCTCACTCCTGTAATCCCAACACTTTGGGAGGCCGAGGCGGGCCTATCACAAGGTCAGGAGATTGAGACCATCCTGGCTAACACGGTGAAACCCTGTCTCTACTAAAAATACAAAAAATTAGCCGGGCGTGGTGGCGGGCACCTGTAGTCCCAGCTACTCGGGAGGCTGAGGCAGGAGAATGGTGTGAACCCGGAAGGCGGAGCTTGCAGTGAGCCGAGATCACGCCACTGCACTCTAGCCTGGGCAACAGAGCAAGATTCCATCTCAAAAAAAAAAAAAAAAAAAAAGAAAAGAAGAAAAGAAAAAAAAAAGGAAGAAATCCTGTCATATTTGACAACATGGAGGAATCTGGGAAGACGTTATTCTAAATGAAATAAACCAGTCTCAGAAGTACAAATACTGCATGATTTCACTTAGATGAGGTATCTAAAGAAGTCAAACCCACAGAAGGACAGAGAAAAATGTTGGTTGCTGGGCGCTGGCAGGATGAAAAAATTGGGGGAGGAGGTTGCTGTTCAATGGGTCTAGAGTTTCAGTTCTGCAAGATGAGTGAGTTCTGGAGGTCTGCTGTACAATGCTGTGCCTGTAGTTAACGATAACGAGTTGTGCACTCTAAGATGTGTTCAAAGAATAGATCTCACGTTAAGTGTTCCTACCAGAATAAACAATTATTAGATATATTATACACACTGCTAGATGTGTGTTATTATCATTTTACTTGGTGTTTTTTGCATATGTAAGTATAGTCTGTAGAGTACTGTATGTTTTTGGTATTAACTGTCTGATTTCCAAATACCAGAATAATGTTTGCTATAGAAGTTGCTTGGAGGAGCTTTCCTTATTTTCCTATGTGTTGGAATGTTTTATATAGCACAGAAATTCTTTTTAAGGGTACAGAAGGGTTTCTTAACCTCAGCACTATTGACAGTTTCAGCTGGGTAATTATAAATTACAGAGTGTTTAGCACCATCCTTGGCCTTAACCCACTACATGTCAGTAATGATCCTCCCCACCCCGCTTGTGACAACCAAAAATATCTTCAGACACTGATGAGGGATTTTTGCCCCTGGGGGCAACATCTACCCCCACACCCTGCTGCCACACACGCACCAGTTAAAAACACTGATGTAAAGGAATTCTGCTACTAACTGCCTGGGCCTGGAGCCTTTTTAAGAAGATTTTTCTTTAATAGCATTTTCTATTCCTTTCATGAGTATTATCTTTCCAAGTTTTCCACTTTGTGTGCCAGTTATGGTAGTTCTCCTATATTATATATTCATAGAATCATTTATTTCCTCAAGAATTTCTTCATTATTAATAGACTCTCCATTGTATCTATTATTAGCAATATCATCTTTCCCATATTTTTTTATTTGAATTTTCTCTTTTGTTTGCAGTTACCAGAGGTCTCTCTATTTCAATGTTTTGGTGTTCTATTAATTTCCCGAATTCATTTCCTGATTTCTTACCAGGTACTAGATACTGGGCCATGTATATCAAACAAGTTCCCTGATATAGTAAATGAGCCTGGCCGGGCGCAGTGGCTCACAACTGTATTCCCAGCACTTTGGGAGGCCGAGGCGGGTGGATCACCTGAGGTCAGGAGTTCAAGGCCAGCCTGACCAACATGGAGAAACTCTGTCTCTACTAAAAATACAAAATTAGCCAGGCATGGTGGCACGTGCCTGTAATCCCAGCTACTCATGAGGCTGAGGCAGGAGAATCACTTGAGCCCGGGAGGTGGAGGCTACGGTGAGCCGAGATCGCACCACTGCACTCTAGCCTGGGCAACAAGAGCGAAACTCCATCTCAAAAAAATAAAATAAATAAAAATATATGAGCCAGTTGCAGGGTACACATTTGTAAACCTATAATTGCAGTATTATAAATTGCAGAATAACAGCATAGACTAGGTACTGTCAAAAAACAAGAAGAACAAGTAAATATGAACTCTAGAGTCAAGGAACGCTTACCAGAAGCTTGATTGGAGTCTCGAAGAAGTTGAAGCAAAATGATCTTCGAGATTATTATGTGGAACTGATGATAAATGTTCTAAAATTTTTAAGAAAGCACAGCTGAGTATGGGAAGATCTGGAGAACAGGTTACATTTTGGATAGAGTTGTTAGTGGTGGAGATAACTTCGGGTGGGGAGAACTACAGAAAAAGAATTTTAAAATGTAAAAGTCAAAAAATTAAGGTACCTTTTTATATTTGAAAGAAAAAAGAATGCTTTTGAAAATCTCTAGAATTAGTGACAGGAATGTGTGGATGCGGAAGTAGAGGGCAAAACCATTAAAGTCTACTTTCACTCATACTTATTCATTATATTTCTGCATGTAACATGCACTTTCTAACTCTTCTTTTCTCTCTATGATATGTCCTTTTCTGAAGTCTTACATTCATTTCCATAACTATAGGAATTCTGCTGTTGCCTGAGGAAACCTGTTCTTGATGTGAAAAAAAAAAAGTGTTTCACATCCCTTAGCATAAGTGTTATGGTCATTGTACATACATTTCACAAATTATTTTTATAAGGAATGGCAGGATCTCCCTTTGGGTCCATCTGATTTCTGGCATGAATCATAGTCCTGCTAGGCAGTGCACCAATGTAAGGACTGAGTCAAGGTCAGGACTACTAAAGAGGAAAACACTGAAGTGATAATGTTGTCAAATTAATATGAACTGAAGGTTTGGTTTCTGTTCACCTCTCTCGAAATTAGAATTGGCCTAGCTTGTGCTCTGGAAATGTGCGTGTTGCTTTCCAAGTCACCTTTTGTATTGCAGTTTCCAAAATTGTAATGTGACTTGTTCAGTTCTTTCCACGTGTTCATGTCCCTAAGTAGAAGAGCTATTATACAGCACCTTGCCAAATGGCAAGTGTACCAGCCTTTCTGAGGAATCCCAGGTGACTTTAAAGAGATAGGCCAGAAATAATGGATTTTCAATCAAACTAACTTCTACAATGGAAAATGTTTGATGCAATGCACGTAAGTCGTGAAAGACCTATGCCAAGAGTTAAAAGCACTTGGTGTACCACTTGGCTATTTTAAGAGTGAGGTGCTATATAAAGTTAGTCCATGTGGAGTGGGTTGGGATTCTCACTGGCTAGCATTTCCTGGTGTTTATGCAAGCATACTTGTGTTTACTTTTGAATAGCCTTTCCCTTCTCCGTACTTTTCTTCCCATTGAGAGAGACAGAAAGGAAAAATCATTTAGGAAAAATTCAGACAGCAGAAGTGGCCTGCCTGAAAAATCACAGCAATGGGCAAAAATGAAGCAACCTGGGAAAAATAAAACACTCAGGCTGTACTTGCACACAGATAAGCAAACAGGGTCCAGCACAGAAAGTCTTTTTCTTTGTATGATTACTGAGTTCCCAGGAAAACGTTTCCTTCCCTTTTCAGGCATATACATGATGGGAACTTGCACAGGGAGGAGGGGACTTACCTAAAACAAACACACAGTTATACAAAAAAAGAGAAGCAGTGCTTTGTGCTTCCCTAGAGACATACCCATAGCTGCATAAGATAAGGGAAGTTGCACAGACAGCTTTACTGAAAAGTTACTCATACTGCTGCAGAGATGAGTTTCTTACAAAAGCTTTAAACTCAGCTATAACTCGGCAATCCACTTGGACTCCCCTCTCTACTCTGGGGAGCTTTCTCCTTTCACTTATTAAACTTTTGCTCCAACCCCCACTTTATGTCCATGTTCCTTAATTTTCTTGGAAGTAGGACAAAGAGCTTGGGGTACTAGTTCAGACAACAAGAAACTGCTACAATAAGGTGCATTGGTGCGACTGCAACACCATGGCCATGGCAGTGGGCCCTTATTCATTCTTCAAGACTTCGCTCCAGTCACTTACCGTAGGAGGTTGTCTGTGATTATTTTCTCTTATCCAAGGGGAGTTTGCCATTCATTTTTTTGTGCTTCCACTGTAATATGTATGTTCCCTTTTCATTTCATTTATCATGCTGTATTATAATATGTTTTTTTACTATCCTCTCCTCCAGCAATTAATATACTCTGAAGTGAAGTGCCTAGCATGGGTCCTATCAAGCATTTGGGAAATGAATTGAATGCTGCCCTCTCTGCTGTTGTGTCTGACTTCTACATAACTGTCACGTATTGTTCAGTCTTTGAAGCTAATGGAAACCTTCCCTTTGGCTTGGGGTAAAGACTTTATCTGGGGCCCCATAGAGCATTGAGTGCTTTTGCTCTAACAAAAAACTGTTGCACTGTATTATCCTTTTATTTTCTAAGCCTGTTTCCTGTGACTTTTTTGAGGGCAGAGTTTGTACTGGATTTATCTTTGTAGCATCCGCAGCCTAGTATTGGCCTGGTTCATAACATATAATCAATAAATGTTGGAAGAATGAATGGATGAATGGGTTTGTGGATAACTATTGGAAGTAATATGACAGAACAGTGACTTACAATCACAACATCTGGGTGTAATTCCCAGACCTGTCCATTATTATCTGTTTGATTTTGGACCAGTCACTTCATTGTGTGAAGGCTCCGTTTTCTCAATTATACCATAGAAACAGAAATCCTTAATCTGCCTACCTGAGGGGTTTGGAGCGAAGAGAAAACTCCAAATAAATAAAGGCTATGAGATAAAAAAAAAAAACTTTAAGTGCAAAATTATGGGTGATTATAAAAGGAAAAATAAATGCCAGGCGTGGTGGCTCACGCCTGTAATCCCAGCACTTGGGGAGGGCGGGTGGATCATGAGGTCAGGAGTTCAAGACCAGCCTAGCCAATATGGTGAAACCCTGTCTCTACTAAAAATACAAAAATTAGCCAGGTGTGGTGGCCCATGCCTATAGTCCCAGCTACTCATGAGGCTAAGGCAGGAGAATCCCTTGAACCCGTGAGGCATAGGTTGCTGTGAGCCATGATCGTGCCGCTGCACTCCAGCCTGGGCGACAGAGTGAAACTCCGTCTCAAAAAAAAAAAAAAAAAAAAAAGTCAAAAAATGACCTAACTTTATCTTTTTTATATAAAGCTGGAATAGTATATTTCTTTTCTTGAAACAAGATCTCACTCTGTCACCCAGCCTGGAGTACAGTGGCTGGATCTCAGCTTACTGCAACCTCAGCCTCCTGGGCTCAAGCAATCCTCCCACCTTAGCCTCCCGAGCAGCTGGGACTACAGGCACACTCTACCATACCTGGTTAATTTTTTATATTGTTTTTGTGGAGATAAGGTTTTGCCATGTTGCACAGGCTGGAATAGTCTTCTTTTGACAATAAGATTTAAACATTGTTTTTGATGGTGGGCCACGACATGCTGACACTGGGCTAGAGGAAATGCAGAACTCTTTGTTACACATGTCCCCAAGTGAGAGAAGGCTATTAGGCAGGACCACATAGGGGATTGCACCTGGGGACAGGGTGACAGCCAAGTGGAGCCGTAGGGGGCAACTTACGTATGACAAGCAGGGTGGGGTTAGCTAGGTTTTTCAGGCTCCCTAAAGATTGGTTAATTTGAATAATTTCTCATACACCCAGTGGCATACAGGCTGTGCCTACTTGTCTGGCATCTAGCCCTGAGGCAAATAGGGTGAGTGCATACTGTCCCAAGTGTGAGAGTCTGGATAAGGATTGCCAGCCAGTGTCTCAAAAGTGGGTCAAGAATGAACTGAAGGCTGGGCATGGTGGCTCACGCCTGTAATCCCAGCACTTTGGGAGACAGAGGCGGGTGGATCATGAGGTCAGGAGTTCAAGACCAGCCTGGCCAAGATGGTGAAACCCCCCTCTCCACTCCAATTAAAAAAAAAAAATAGCCAGATGTGGTGGCAGGCGCCTGTAATCCCAGCTACTCGGGAGGCTGAGGCAGACAATTACTTGAACCCGGGAGGCAGAGGTCGCAGTGAGCCGAGATCATGCCACTGCCCTCCAGTCTGGGTGGCAGAGTGAGACTGTCTCAAAAAAAAAAAAAAGTACTGAAAGCAACAACAACACAAACAAAACTATAATAAAGTCTAAGGATCTCTAATATATATATCTACAACAACTACATGAGAAATATTTTTCCTACAGAAACTCCTACTTTCTGTCTAAATCAATGGATGGTAGATATGGAGGAGAAGAGTAGGGGTCAAATTCTCAGCTCTGTTTTACCTGAGATTCTTGGTAAAAGTGCAGCATTATAGATATAACCCAGAATTTGGACTTTCATCCTCTGCTTTCAAAATTTAGTTCTGTATTCTATTTGCTTTCGAATATATCACCTAAAGTGCAAAGTTGTTAATAAGACAGAAGATAATACATGTAAAGTGCCTATGTAGAAATTATAGCTATATTTCAATTCCCAGTGAATATATGAATGTAAGCAATAAGTTAAAATACCTGCTAAAATTAAAAAGAGAGACATCCAGAGATAATATGCATCTGTGTAAAAGTATATAAACCACCTATAAAACCATCTTGGAAAAGAAAAATAAGCGAAAAGTAGAAAAGACAGAAGAACATATTTAAAAAATCAAAGGCTTGAAATCAGCAAAAGCCACAATGCAGGAAATTTTACAGAAAAAATTATTCATTTCCTAGGGCTGCCATAACAAATTACCAGAAACTTGTTGGCTTAAAACAGCAGAAATTTATTCTCCCACAGTTCTGAAAGACAGAAGTCTGAAATGAATACCAATAAGCTGAATTCAAGGTATCCGCAGGGCAAGACTTCCTTTTCCAGCTTCTGGTGGCTGCTGGCATCGCTTGGCTTCTGGCGGCATCACTCCAGTCTCTGCCTCTCTGGTCACTTTGCCACCTCCTCTTCTGTAAAAATTCCCTCTGCCTCTCACTTGTAAGAACCCTTAAAATTGCCTTGAAAGATCACCCGGGTAATCTAGGATAATCCCTTATTTCCAGTATCCTTAACTTAATCACATCTGCAAAAACACTTTATTCTCATATAAGATAACATTCCAGGTTTCCATGAGTTCAGATTTGGATATCTTTGAGAGGAGTCATTTTTACCACAGATAACGATCAAGTGTCCTCAAAAATAATTTCAAAATTTAAAACAAAGAAGAGAAAGAATGGAGAAGAAACTATAAATTAAAAGAGATTTTAGAGCCAGTCACTGACTCTTGCCTGTAATTCAATTACTTTGGCAGGCTGAGATGGTAGGATCGCTTGAGGCCAGGAGTTCAAGACACACCCGGTCCACATAGTGAGACCGTATCTCTATTAAAAAATTAAAAATTATCTGGGCATGTTGGCAGGCTTCTGTGGTCCCAACTGCTTGGGAAGCTGAGGTAGGAGGATGGCTTGAGGCCAGGAATTCAAGGTTACAGTAAGCTGTGGTCATGTCACTGCACTTCAGACTGGGCAACACAGTGAGACCTGTCTCTATAAATAATTAATTAATTAAATGAGATTTAAGAGATAACATGAACCAATATCAAGGTGTGAAACCTATTTGGATCCTGATTCAAACAAATATACTGAAAAAAACGATGACCTTTGTGAAATTTGCACATCAAGTGATATTTCATGAGGATAGAAGTTTGTTTTTTTCTGAGAGATAATGGTATTGTGGTATTCCTTAATGAAATAATTCTTATCTTCTAGAAATACATGATGGAAATACACGACGGAATAGTTAAAGATGAAATGATATGACACTTCCATGATGAGATAAGGTATAATGAAAAGCAGCCTATCCAAAGGCTTGGGACATAGTAGGAGCTAAATAACCATAGCTGCTATTATTAGAGTTACCAAATAATGTTGCCAATTTTGGATGGAATAAGTTTCATATTTGAGTGATAATAATATTTTACTAAGTCATTTGGTTTTGAGATTTATTTGATACTGCTATTTATTTTCTTAGTGTTACAATATTATAACTTTTTTGGGATCTGAGTATTTTATCATAAGTAGTCAAATAGTGTTTGTTCAGATGTATATAGTCATCCATCAGTATCTCCAAAGGGTTGGTGCCAGCATCCATGCAGATACCAAAATCTGCAGATGTTCAAGTCGCTTATATAAAAGGGTGTAGTATTTGCACATGACCTATGTACATCCTTCCGTATACTTTATTTATTTTATTATTATTATTATTTTTGAGACAGAGTCTCGTGCTGTCACCCAGGAGTGCAGTGGTGCGATCTTGGCTCACAGCAACCTCCACCTCCTGGGTTCAAATGATTCTCCTGCCTCAGCCTCCTGAGTAGCTAGGACTACAGGCGCCCACCAGTACGCCTGGCTAATTTTTGTATTTATTTATTTATTTATTTATTTATTTATTTATTTAGTGGAGACCGGGTTTCACCATGTTGGCCAGGTTGGTCTCTAACTCCTGACCTCAAGCGATCTGCCTGCCTCGTCCTCCCAAAGTGCTGGAATTACAGGCATGAGCCACCATGCCTAGCAATCCTTTCGTACACTTTAAATCATCTCTAGTTTATTTATACCTAGTACAATGTAAGTGTTATGTAAATACTGGTTTTACTGTCTTGTTTCTGTGTGTATTATATTTTTAAAATATTTTCACCTGGCAGTTTGTTGCATCTGATGATGCAAAACCCATGGATATAGAGGGTGAACTGTGTAAATATACACATGCATACATAGACACATACACACATAACATATATGTATATGTACATACATTCATATTTGCATACAGATAGATGTGCATATCTATCATCTATCTCTCTCTCTATCTATCTATCTGTAGGTTCAGCATCCCTAACTCAAACACTTTTTGAGCACCAACAGGCTGCCACAGTGGAAAATTTCACACTGGACCCCATGTGATTGTTCAGAGCAAAAATATAGCTGAAACTTTGTTTCATGCATAAAATTATTAAAATTATTGTCTAAAATTATCTTCAGGGTATGTGTATAATTAATAAGGTGTATGTGAAACATAAATGAATTTTGCGTTGAGACTTGGGTCCCATCCCTACAATACCTCATTATATATATGCAAAATTCCAAAACCCAAATCTGAATTCCAAAACGCTTTTGATGCCAGATAAGGGATAATCAACCTGTACTATATGTGCGCATATATATAATATATATATACACATATGTTATATGTGTATATATAACATATAAGCATATATAGTATATAACATATATGTATATATAATATATACAGATATAGAATATATATACATACATTATTGTGTGTATGTAGTATATATACACATAGGATTAATGAGGGATCTCCAGAGAGGCAGAACCAATAGAATGTATATATTAGGTTGGTGCAAAATTAATTGCGGTTTTGGGCCGTGAATTTTAAATCATTATAACTATGCTCAAACACATCTTTTTTTTATCAAAATAAGAACCATTACAATCAACACATTTTTGTCAATGAGAAGTACATTTGTTTATTCCTGTGGTGTAAAAATCCATGCTTTGGGATTCAACAAACTCTTGGAAAGCATTTTCTGCATCCTGGTTGTGGAAGCATTTTTCCTCAAAAAGTTGTTGAGATGCTTGAAGAAGTGGTAGTCTGTTGGTCAGAGGTCAGGTGAATATGGCGGATGAGGCAAAACTTAGTAGCCCAATTTGTTCAACTTTTGAAGCGTTGATTGTGTGACGTGCAGTCAGGCGTTGTAGAGAAGAATTAGGCGCTTTCTGTTGACCAATGCCAGCTGCAGGTGTTGCAGTTTCCGGTGCTTCTCATTGATTTGCTGAGCATACTTCTCAGATGTAATGGTTTCGCTGGGATTCAGAAACCTGTAGTGGATCAGACCAGCAGCAGACCACCACCAAACAGTGACCATAACCTTTTTTTTTTTTTTTTTTTTTTTTTTGGTGCAAGTTTGGCTTTGGGAAGTGCTTTGGAGCGTCTTCTCTGTCCAACTACTGAGCTGGTCGCCGCTGGTTGTCGGATAAAATCCACTTTTCATCGCATGTCCCAATCCAATCAAAAAGTGGTTCATTGTCGTTGGGTAGAATAAAAGAAGACAACGCTTCAAAAGGACGATTTTTTTTTTTTATTTTTCACTCAGTTCATGAGGCACCCACTTACCAAGCTTTTTCACATTTCCAATTTGCTTAAAATGCCAAATGACTGTAGATAGCCCCTGTTGCCATAATTAGTCTCAGAGGTAAAATTGCTGTGTATTATCTCCCTCCTCCAATACCCACTCTAGAGTTTCTTACATGAATCACCTCTTCTAGACCAGATGACTTTCCTGGAGTTCTGATGCAGCGATGCAGATTTGTTTTTTTTTTAAACTGAGACTTGAGTCTGTGTTCACATATATATATATATTTTTTTGAGACAGAGTCTTGATCTGTTTCCCAGGCTGCAGTGCGCAGTGGTGCAATCACAGTTCACTGCAGTATCAACCTCCCAGTCTGAAATGACTCTCCCAACTCAGCCTCCTTGCTAGCTGGGACTACAGGCGTGTGCCACCACACCTGGCTAATTTTTAACTTTCTGTAGAGATGGGGTTTCTCTGTGTTGCTCAAGCTGGTCCCAAACTCCTGGGCTCAAGCAATCTTCCCGCCTCAGCCTCCTAAAGTGCTGGGATTGCAGGCATGAGCCACCGCCCCTGGCAAGATTCTTAAGCTTAAACCTTTTGGCTACTCTACTTGTCCATTGACCATCAAAATTGGATAAGGAAGAAGCAAAAACACAGCTTACTATGGCCCTTTTAAAAGCATTCCTTCTCTGAGAACCAACATGTCTAGAACCACTGAGTCTAAAGAAGTTGCAGGGATAGGACACACAAATTTCCTAAATAGGTCACGGAAAGTAATTATAAATAGGCATTCCTATTGTCACCCATTGAGTTCTATCTATTGGTGATAATGTTCAATGTTTTAGAGCGTTATCTCTAAACTGTAGCCTCAGCTGTATGTTTAAAAAGTCATTCCATTGCTGTATCAGACCGATCACTTCTGGGTATTGCTGTATGTGATAAAGACAGTGGACCCAAATGTCATGTACCAAATACTATACTTCTTTTGATATAAAGTAGATCATTTGATCCAATGTCACGTTGTACAGAACCCCATAGCAGTGGGCTAAACATTCTATATTCCTTGAATAATTGTGCTGCCTGAGATCCTGCAAGCGGGAAAGTTATATCCAAAATATACGTTGATCCCAGTCAATATGCCACCATCAAGTTGCTGGTGGGTCTAATTAATAAATATCGCCATATTAGAGCATTAGTTTTGGTCTCCTTTTACAGCGTATTGAACAGTGGCTGGTGGTAATAGCTATATCAGACTTGATGAATGAGAGTTCCTGCCATTAGGCCCATGCATAGCCTTCATTCGTATCTATCAACATGGCTACTTCATCTATGTGCCTTTTATGCCAGCTGAGGTAGCCAATAAAAGAAACTGGTTAATGTCAGCTGACCAAGCAATTCTGTCTGTTTGTTTAGTGCCTTTCTCATGGTCGATGGTTCTTGGAGAGCATTAGCATGTAATGCAGATGTCTTCACAGTGTGCACACTTCCATAAGTCCATTCACATGCCTCTTCCTTAGACCTCCTTGTCTGTGATCCTCCAGTCTTTTTTATTCTAAGTCTTGGAGCAATAAGCCAAACAATGAGTTTTTTTAATAATTATTCTAGACCACTTCTCTTTTCACATGAAATGGATAAGCAGGTGCATTGGCTTCAGCTCTAAGGATTTAGAGGATTTTCTTTCTCTGCTATCTTAGGGGGCCATCCCTGTGTGAAGCTGTAATGTAGTCACAGTCCACCTGGGGGCTGTACCCACATACCGAGCAGACCCTACTGTAAACCAAGGTTGGCTTTCCTTAGCCTCAATTATGTGGCCATAGGGGTGAGCTGAGGGAAAAATGCCAGTGCAAGAACTGGGGGTGCCATAGGGTTTGAGGCCACTTGCCCATGCAGATTACCTGCATCATTGGCCAAATACCATTTACCCGAGGGCGTAATTATCTGATCTGGCAAAGCTATTACATCAGCACAAAAGGTAAGATTGAGGATATTATTTGGTTGCGTTTTTTAATAGTCCAATTTCATCTGCCAGGGTACATTTATTTTTGTAGGATCCAAAAACAGATGGAAATATAATGATGGATGACTATCTCTGTTTCCCTGAAATCTTTTAATAGGGTACTAATTTCTGCCGTTTTTTCTGGGATCCAATATTGTTTTAGATTTGCTATGTTGGCCAGCAGTGAAAGGATTGTGGTGTTGAGTGTTTCAGAGACTGTTGCTCAGTTTTATGCAGAATGATAACTCTTACCTTCAAGCCAAAACCCTAAGTGGGGTCTCTGCAAGCTCCCAAGTATGTACATTCCAATTATACAATCAGTAACTAGGATAATTACCATGAGGTAGACCTGTAGACCCAGTGATCTCAATATGCTCCATAACTCCATTTGTTATTTGCTCCCTATAAGTACCAACTCTAAAAGGGGGGCCCTAATGACATTTAAGGTCTCTGAGAATCAATGCCAACTTGGACTCCATGTCTCAAAATGTCTGGTATTATCCTTTCCACAATGTGCACTTACCCAAGTGGATGGTTATAGGTTCTTTTGGAGAAATACTGTGGTACTACTCACCTTATATCCTTACCATGGTGTTGGCAGGGTCTTTCTTTATGGGAACCTGGCCTATTTTTCAGTCAGTGAGTTCTGGGTCTAAGAACTGACTGTCATCCAGAACTTGGGTGAATTGACTGTCATCCAGAATGTGGGCAAGAGACCGTAATTTTTCACTGGACCACCTACTTTCAGTTTCTTCGTCACCTATTCTTGATTTGTCTTGGTTGTATAAATTAAGCAATACCTTTGTTTACTGTCCATTTATCTTGCCCTCAGAGACACTGTATTCTATTAGTCATCCTTAAAGCTCTTTGTGGATCAGAATCCTTTGGCTACCTGATCCACTCTGATCTTGATGCACTTTATGATCATTGTGTCTACTGGGCTTCTACCATTTAATTGCTGCCACCTGGTGTCTATTTATTTTTTAACTCCTTTTATCCTCTTTGCTGTCAGGAAACATAAATCTGTAACACCATCTCCTACTCTCAACACTGACATAGAGAGTACAGCCAGTGTATAAATCCTAAGATAACACTCAATATCTCACATGCCATTGTATAATCCCCTCCTCTTGAGTGTAGGAAGAACCTTTCACTTGCTTCTAGCCAATAGAATATAGCAGAGGTCATGGGATGTCATTCCTTGATTAGGTCACACTATATTACACTCTGTCTTAGTAGACTAGAATGAAAGTTTCTCCTTCCAGACTTAGAGAAGCAAAAAGCCATGTTGTGAAATGCCTATGGATAGGGCCAGCCACATGATGTTACTGTGGGCAGCCTCTATGACCTGAGGACAACTTCCGGTAAATATCCAGTAAGAAGCCAGGGTTCTCAGTTCTACAAATAAATGTATTCTGCCAACAACCATGGAAGCTTGGAAAGAGAACCCTGAGCCCCAGGAAGGAATGCAGGATGGCTGGCACCTTGACTGTAACAGCCTTTTGAGAGATCTTGAAACAGAGGATCCAGTTAAGCTATACCTTGACTCCTGACCACAAAAATTGTTATATAATAATTGTATGTTGTTTTAAGCAATAAATTTGTGGTAATTTGGTACACAGCAATATAAAAGTAACACAGCCACAGACTTGTTTCTCAACATTGCCAGTTCCTTTGTTATCAGTGTATTCCATGTTCCTTTGTTAAATGGATTTTCATCTGCACCTGTCTGCAGCCTATGATGGGTTGGGTTTTCTGGCCTTATACAGTAAATCTGCTCTAGCATGTCTAACTATCTGAACTTTTGGATTCCTTCTTCTTCCTTCTACCATGGTATTTATTTTTCACATAGAGTAGGCACTTTTTGCATTACCCTTCTTCACTTCAAGTAGGGACTTTTTGCACTTTCTCCTTGACCTTTGCTGGGTTTTTAAATCCTTAATCCTAAGAGATCCATTCCATATTGATAAACTCACCCCTTCCATCTGCATTTTCCCTCCCTTTGAGTCATCATCTCCAGGGTCTAGCCCTGTTTATACCCTTCTTTTAGTATCTCCAGTTCATTCAGCATATGCTCCCTTTCCCTCCTTTGCCAACCCAGTACTTTCCCTAGCCAAGTTATGTTATGACTTCACCTTAGTTATTTTTCTGTTGGCCAGAAGGTGGGTGGAGATTAATTGTGACTCTAAATTGTCGTACAAAGCAAAAACCTGTGCACTTTCTTCAAGAAAAGAATGTATGCTATTTTGACAGACAACAGTGAGACACTGGGCCAACCCAGTGGGTTCAAGGGAACCCGAGGAATCAAGAATTGCAGATATATTGACACAGATGGCCCCATCCCAAGATTCAGAGTTTTCTTCTTCTCTGTGATTGTTCTGTCTAACATAATCAGGATTAAACATTCAATCTTCTTGAGAGCTTGTTTGGAGGCTCTAGCAGGGGAGCGCAGCTACTCGTATACCCTTGACTGAAGACCGGTCCTCCTCTATCAGGGATGGTTGTCCTCTTTGACCAAGCAAGCAGCTTCAGGAGGGATGTACATGGAGTGGTGAGGCAGGAAGGGGACACCCACCTAGCCAGCCATATCAACCGAATCAACCCTGGCAATCAATGGGGTGACAGATGTCACAGCCAGACCACCCTCACATCCATGCATTCAAGCTTCTTGAGCTACTCTACCCTTGTAAATAATTTCTGATTCATAACCTCAGCTTTTTCTGCCCTTCAGCTGCAGGAGATGAGAGGTTCTTTATATAAAAGAATCCCTCAGATTTTTCTATTTTGCCTTAAATTGGGAATTCGTTACACTCAGCCTTTGCTTGTTTTTCTCCGGTGCATCATTAATAACCACAAAACCATCCAATTTCATACCCCTTATAATTACCACTCTCCTAAAACCTTGTAAAGGCCTCAGATATTGTGTATACTATTACATTCTTTTCTATCCCCTATTCCATTCCAGTTTACCGCCAATGAATATTTTAATAATTGCACTGCTATATCATGCCAGTGACTATTAGTGCTCCAACTACTACCAGAAATGAGGTCATCCCTTCTATCTAACCAGTGAATAATCCAGCTCCAAAATGCCATAGTTGAGACTATAGGTCAGGTTTCTCAGGGAAGCAAACAGTTGTAAAATGTAGGTTTATTGGAGAATGGCCTCAAAAGTGGCATCTTTAGGTGAATGAGAGAAGAAGGAAGAGCAGAGAGAGAATTTAAACCTTGATGTGGTTGCAATCAAACTGTCCCACAGGGACCTCTGAAACTGGAGTTGTCCTTCAGAATTGTCCTGAATTGAAGCAAGGGGGTCAGGTCTTTGTCCCGTCACACTGACCAGACATTCAGTGCAGGCTGTTGCAAAGGAAGGGGTATAGCTTTGGGCAGGGTTGCTTCATTAAGTCAAAGGTAATTTCCAGAGGGGATTCATAAGCTGTGAGTCATTAGCAGCCACCACCAAGTGGGAAAAAGAGTGGCTTTGTCCCGGTGGAAATATTTGTATGGAGCACTGCACCATGTACTCTTACTTCTAAAGAGGCTGGTAGCCTGTGATTATAGATTACATTGTAGTTAAGGAGGTTTTCTCATCAGATCCATTTTTCCCAATAGTATACTTTAAAACAGAATGAACATTTTAACAATATTTTCCTTAGTCAATAAATATTCGTGGAATGCCTACTATGATAGGCACTGTGGATACAGCCATAAACACTCTGCAACTGAAGAAATAAAAGCATCCCCTTCAGTCCTGCCAGATGGAGACTGGGAATTAGAATCATCCTTGATTTAGAATGTAGTCATTATAAACACTATTTTGAAAGCTTCAGCTGCATCTTTCTGTAGTTAAAGGACATAAAGAAACGTATGGCTCAGCAACCACGTTATTTTCCATTCACAGTTGACAAAATAAAACCCTGAAAGGGAAGTAGGTATCAAGGCAATGAAGACGAGGAACTAACACTTCTCTATACAATAGAATAAACTAGCATCAGTGTGAGAGAGCCAGTTTTGCAAATTATGAGGCACTTGATAGGTTGATACTGTACTATCTTTGCCAATTAGTAATTGTCTATTTTCTTGGTCAGTTTTATTAAGGTAAAATTTACATAATTTTTTTTACCAACTTCAAGTGCACAATTTGATGAGTTTTGGCAAATGTACATAGGCGTGGAGCAACACCAAAATCAAGATATAGAGTATTTCTATCACTCTTAAAATGTATTAGTGTTCCTTTGCCGCTGATCAGGTATCAGTCACTATACTTTGTCTCTTCTATAATATACAAATAAAATTAGATAATATGTAGTCTTTTGTGTCTGAATTCTTTCACTTAGCATAATCTTTTTGAGATACACCAACAAAGATTTGTGCACAAATATTGATAGCAGCTTTATTCATAAGAAACCCAAACTAGAAACAGCCCAAAGTCCGTCAGCTGGTGAAAGGATGAAGAAACTGTGTTAAACTTTTACTATGGAATAGTACTCAGCATTAAAATGGAGCAAACTACTGATAAACATAATAAGGGTTTTCTGTTTTACAGGCATAATAAGTTATGTTTTTATTCACTGAAAAATTGAATTTATAAGATAAGAGAAAAAATTACTCAATGCTTTGATACAGCTAAGGGTTAGATCAATGGAGGATGCTCAGGAGCCAAGAAGAGACAAACCTACTACCTTTGTTTTCCTATTAGAATAAGCATTTTGTTATTTCTATCCATATCCTCATGACTTAGCATACATATAACCAATATATATTCTTTTGTGAGTTGACTTGACAGGATTAGAGTAGAGTAGTTCAAAAAATTGAAAATCCCATACAAGAGTCTGAGATGGAACAGTGATCATTGGTGTGGGGACTGGTAAAACACTTTGGCAAATTCATTAATATATAACAATCCTCTTAAATATAACCATACACATGTTTTTAACTTTTATTTTAGATTCAGGGTACATGTGCAGGTTTTTTGTATAGGTAAATTGTGTGTCATGGGGGTTTGGTATACAGATTATTTTGTCATCCAGCTAATAAGCATATTACCCAATAGATGATGGTTTTTCAGTCTCACCGTCCTCCTACCCTGAACCCTCAAGTAGGCCCTGGTGTCTATTGTTTGCTTTTTTGTGTTCATTAGTATTCAATGTTTAGTTCCCACTTACAAGTGAGAATGTGCAGAATTTAATTTTCTGTTCCTATATTAGTTCACTTGGGTTAATGGCCTCCAGCTCCGTCCATGTTACTCCAAAGGAAATTATCTCATATATATCATTAAGTCTATGTACCATGTTTCCTTTATCCAGTCTACTGTTGATGGGCATTTAGGTTGATTGCGTGTGTTTGCCATGGGGAACAGTGCTGCGATGAAAATATGCATGTATATGTCTTTATGGTAGAATATTCCTTTGGGTATATGCCTAGTAATGGGATTTCTGGGTAGAATGGTAGTTCTGTTTTTAGGTCTTTGAGGCATCTCCAAACTAATTTCCACAATGGCTGACCTAATTTACATTTCCTCCAGCAGTGTTTAAGCCTTTCCTTTCCTCCGCAACCTTATCAGCATCTTTTATTTATTGACATTTTAATAATAGCCATTCTGACTGTTGTGAGATAGTATTTCATTGCGGCTTTGATTTGTATTCCTCTAATGATTAATGATGTTGAGCATTTTTTCATATGCTTGTTGGCCATGTGTAAATCCTCTTTTGAAAATGTTTGTTCATGTATTTTGCCCACTTTTTAGTGGGGTTGTCTATTTTTTGCTTATTAATTTGTTTAAATTTCTTAATAGATTCTTCATATTAGATCTTTGTCCGAAGCATACTTTGCAAATAATTTCTCCCATTTTCTAGGTTGTCTGGTTACGCTGATGATAGTTTCTTTTGCTGTGCAGAAGCTCTTTATTTTAATTAGATTCCAATTGTCAATTTTTGTTTTTGTTGCAATTGCTTTTGGAGCCTTCATCATAAAATTTTTGCCAGGGCTTATGTCTAGAATGGTTTTCCTAGGTCATTGGTCATGGTTTATATAGTTTTAAATGTTAAATTTAAGTCTTTAATCCGTCTTGAGTTAATTTGTATATGGTATAAGGAAGGGGTCCAATTTCAATCTTCTGCATATGGCTAGCCAGTTACTCCTGAACCATTTATTGAATTGGCAGTCCTTTCCCCATTCCTTGTTTTTGCTGACTTTGTCATCAAAATCTGATGTCATCTGACATCAGATGCTTTTAGGTATGTAGCATTATCTGTGGAATGTCTGTTCTGTTCCATTGGTCTATGTGTCTGTTCTTGTACCAGTACCATGCTGTTTTGTTTACTATGGCCTAGTAGTATAGTTTTAAGCCAGGTAATGTGATGCCTCCAGCTTTGTTCCTTTTGCTTAGGATTGCATTGACTATTTGGTCTCCCTTTTGGTTCCATATGAATTTTAGCATAGTTATCTTCTTATTCTGTGAAAAATGCCATTGGTAGTTTGACAGAAATAACATTGAATGTGTAAATTGCATTGGGCAATATGGCCATTCTAACAGTATTTTTCCTATGCATGTGAAATGATTTTCCCCTTGTTTATGTCATGTATGATTTCTTTCAACAGTATTTTGTAATTCTCATGTCGACATTCTTCACCTCCCTAGTAGGCTGTATTCTTAGGGATTATTTTATTTTTTGGATATTGTAAAATAAGATTTATTTTTTTATTTGACACTCAGCTTGGATGTTGTTGGTGTACAGAAATGATACCGATTTTTGTAGGTTTATTTTGTAGTCTGAAACTTTGCTGAAATTGTTTACAGATCTAGGTGTTTATGAGCACAGACCACTGGAATTTTTACATATAAAATTATATCATCTGCTAATAGAAATAGCTTGACTTCCTGTCTTTCTATTTGGATAACTTTTATGTATGTATCTTGGCTGATTCCTCTGGCCAGAAGTTCCAGTACTATATTCAATAGGAGTGGTGAGAGTGGGCATCCTTATTCTGGTTTTCAAGGAGAATGCTTCCAGCTTTTGCCCATTCAGTACAATATTGGCTGTGGGTTTGTCATAGATGGCTCTTATTATTTTGAGACATGTTCTTCCAATACCTAGTTTATTGAAGGACATGAGGGAATGTTTAATTTTGTCAAAAGCCTTTTTTGCATCTTTTGAGATAATCATGTATTTTCTTTGTTGGTTTGTTTTTAATTCTGTGTATGTGATTTACTGATCTGTATATGAACCAGCCTTGAATCTCAGAGACAAAGCCTACTTGAGTGTGGTGGATTGGCTTTTTTACGTGCTGCTGGATGTGGTTTGCTAGTGTTTTGTTGAGAATTTTTGCTTCTGTGTTCAGCAAGAATCTTGCCCTGAAGTTTTCTTTGTGTGTGTGTGTGTGTGTGTATGTCTCTGTCAGGTTTTGGTATCAGAATGAAGGTGGCCTCATTGAATGAGTTAAGGAGAAAACCCTTATCCTAATTTTTTTGGAAAAGTTTTAATAGGAATGCTAACAAGTCTTATTTATACATCTGATAGAATTTGGCTGTTAATCCATTTGGTCCAGGGCTGCTTCTGGTTGGTAAGCTTTTTATTACTGCATCAATTTAAGAACTTATTACTGGTCTGCTGAGGTTTTAAACTTCTTCCTGGATCAATATTGGGAGATTTTACATTTTCAGGAATTTACTGATTTCTTGTAGGTTTTCTAATTTGTGTATATAGAGGTTTCCACAATACCCCTTGAAGGTTTTTTTTGTATTACTTTTAATATTTTTTAATTTTTAATTTTTGTAGGTGCATAATAGGTACATACATTTATGGGTTACATGAGATGTCTTGATACAAACGTGCAATGCATAACATTAACATTGGGGTAAATAGGTATGCATCACCTCAGCCATTTATCCTTTGTCTTTCAAACAATCAAATTATATACTTATACTCATTTTAAAGTGAACAATTAAATTATTTATTATTATAGTCATCATTTAGTTCTAGCAAACACTAGGTCTAATTTTTTCTTTATAACTATATTTTTTACCCATCAACACTCCTCTCTTCTGTCATAGCCCCTGGATTACTATTTCTAGTCTCTATTAACCATCTCTGTATTCTCTATATCCATGGCTTCAATTGTTTGAATTTTTAGCTCCGACAAATAAGTGAGAACACATCATGCTTGTCTCTCTGTGTCTGTCTTATTTCATTAAACATGATGACCTCATATTCTATCCATGTTGTTGCCATTGACAGGATCTCATTTTTTATGGGTGAATAGTACTCCATTGTTTATAAGTACCTAATTTTCTTTAGTCAAGCTATTTATAGAAACTTAGATTGTTTCCAAATCTTGGCTACTGTGAATATTGCTGCAGTAAACATTATAGTGCAGATATCTCTTCAATATCGTGATTTTTTTTTTGTATATATACCCAGCAGTGGGATTGCTAGATCATGTGATAACTCTATTAACTCTATTTTTAGTTTTTTGAGGAACCTCCAAATTGTTCTCCATAGTGGTCGTACTAATTTACATTTCCTGCAACAGTGAATGAGGTTCCCTTTTCTCCACATCTTCAGCAGAATTTGTTATTGCATGCCATTTGTTTTTCTTCTTTTGAGAAGTTGCATGTTCAAATATTTTCCCTGTATTTTGATTGGATTATTTGATTTTTTTTCTATAGAGCTGTTTGAGCTCCTTATATATTCTAGTTATTAATTCCTTTTCAGATAGTTAGTTTGTAAATATTTTTTCCCACTCCGTGTGTTATCTCTTCACTTTGTTGATTGTATCCTTTGCTGTGCAGAAGCTTTTTAACTTGATGTGATCCCATTTGTCCATTTTTACTTTGGTTGCCTGTGTTTGTGGAGTATTACCAAAGAAATTTTTGCGCAGCCCAAAGTCCTAGAGAATTCCTCCAATGTTTTCATTTTGTAGTTTCATAGGTTGAGGTCTAAGATTTAAGTCTTTAATTCATATTGATTCAATTTCTGTATATGGCAGTAGATAGGGGTTTAGTTTTATTCTTCTACATATGTATATCCAGGTTACCCAGCACCATTTGTTAAAGAGACTGTCTTTTCCCCTCTGTAGGTTCATAGAATCTTTGTGGAAAATGACTTAACTGTAGGTGTTGGATTTGTTTCTTTATTCTTTATTCTGTTCCATTGCTTTATTAGTCTGATTTTATGCCAGTACTATGCAGTTTGGTTACTATATTTTTGCAGTATAATTTGAAATCAGGTAATGTAATTCTTCCAGTTTTGTTCTTTATGCTCAGGATACCTTTGGCTTTTCTGGGTCTTCTGTGATTTTATATAATTTTTAGGATTGTTTTTTTCTACTTCTGTGAAGAGTGTCATTGGTATTTTGATAGGGATTGCATTGAATATGTAGATTGCTTTGGGTAGTATGAACCCTTAACAATATTGACTCTTCCAGCCCATGTACCTGGAATATCTTTCCAGTTTTTTGTGTCCTCTTTGTTTTGTCAATATTTTATAGTTTTTATTGCAGAGATCTTTAACTTCTTTAATTAAGTTAATTAATTCCTGGGTATTTAACTTCATTTGTGACTATTGTAAATGTCATTAATTTATTGATTTTTTTTTCAGATTGTTCTCCCTTGACATGTGAAAATGGCACTGATTTTTTTTTATGTTGACTTTGTATCTTGCAACTTCTGGATTTATTTATCCATTCTAATAGTTTCTGGTAGAGTCTTTATGATTTTCCAAAGGTAAGATGATGTCATCTGCAAACAAGTATGACTTGAATTCTTTCATTTTATTTTGAATGTCCTTTACTTCTTTCTCTTGTCTAATTGCTTTAGTTAGGACTTCCATTTTGATGTAAATAACAGTGGTGAAGGAGGGCATCCTTGGTATATTCCAAATATTAGAAAAATCTTTCTATGATACCAGCTGTGGGTCTGTCATATATGGCTTTAATTATGTTGCAATATGTTTCTTTCATCTCCAGTTTTTTTAAGCTCTTTTATCATGAAGGGATGTTTACTTTTATCAAAGGTTTTTACAGCATAAACTGAAATTATCATACAGTTTTTTTCCCTTCATTCTGTTTGTATGATGTATCACATTAACTGATTTGCCTATGTTGAACCACCTTTGTATCCCTGGGCTGAATACCACTTGATTATGATGAGTGATGCATTTGATGTGTTGTCAAATTTTATTTGCTAGTATTTTGTTGATTATTTTTACATAAATATTTATCAACGATAATATTGGCCCATAGTTTTCCTTTTTTAATATGTCTTTGGTTTTGCTATCAGGGTAATACTGGCCTTGGTAGAATGAGTTTGGAACTATTCCCTCCTCCTCTACATTTTGCATAATTTGGGTGGAATAGGTATTAGTTCTGCTTTAAACTTTTGGTAGAATTCCGCAGTGAAGCCATTGAGTCCCAGGTTTTTCTTTGCTAGCAGACTATTTTATTTTATCATGGCTTCAATCTAATTACTTATTGTTGGTCTGTTCAGATTTTGTATTTATTCATGGTTCAATATTGGTAGGTTGTATATATCTAGGAATTTGTTCATTTCTTCTAGATTTTCCAATTTATTGGCATGTAATATTTCTTAGTAGCCACCTAATGATCCTTTGAATTTCTGCAGTATGAATTATAAATGTCTTCTTTCTCATCTCTGATTTTATGTTTGTGTCTTCTCTTTTTTTATTGGTCTTGCTAAAAGTTTGTCAATTTTGCTTAACTTTTCAAAAAGCCAACTTTTGGTTTTGCTAATGTTTTATATTACTTTTCATTTCAATTTTATTTATGCTTTGATATTTATTATTTCTTTTTTCTACTAATTTTTGGTTTGGTTTGCTCTTGCTTTTCTAGTTCTTCAAGATGCATCATTATGTTAATCATTTGAAGTTTTTCTCATATTTTGATCTCATTTATAGCTACAAATTTTCCTCTTACTACTGTTTTCCCTGTATCATAGGTTTTGGTATATTGTGTTTTAAGAAATGTTTCAATTCTAATCAGCAGGTGGCAAAGCCAGTCAGGCTTCTTTCTTTTTCTTCAGGGCGTAAATTTCCCCAGGTCCCAGGCAGGTAGAGAGGTGCCATTTGGGAGCCCGGGACTGGAGTCAAAGACCTTTGAAGCCTACCTGTTTTTTTATTGTACTATTACTGAGCTGGGACTCAATCCATGAGGTGAAGTCCTTACTGCTCTTCCCTCCCCTTTTTACAGGCAGAGTAGCTTCACACTGTGGCCACCACAGGCCCGTGGGGAGTACTGCCAGGTTATTGCCAATGTTTCCTTAAGGCCCAAGGGCTTTCTTAAGTCAACTTGGGGTGAATGCTGCCTTGCCTGGGAGTCACCCTTCAGAGCAGTGGGCTCCCATCTGGCATAGGGCAGGTCCAGAAATGCCATTTAAAAGCCAAATCCTGGAATCAGGGACCTCCAAAGCCTGCCAGGTGCTCTACCCCACTGTGACAGAGATTGTAACTATCGTGAAAGACAAAGTCCCCTTTACTTTTCTCTTCACCTTTCTCAAGCAGAAGTCTCTCTCCATAGCCACCACAATTAGGAATGTACTGAATCTCACCTGAAACCAGCAAGTCTCAGAGTCTCACCCAAGACCCATCATGTAGTACCTGGGTATTACTGCTGGCTATTCAGGGCCCATGGGGCTCTTCAGTTAGCAAGTGATAAATCCTGCCAAGACTGGGTTCTTCCCTTCAAGGCAGCAGGCTCCCTTCTGACTTAAGGTATGTCTAGAAATGTAATCTGGGTGCTAGTTCCTGTAAAGGGCACGTCATATCTCTGACAAGTGCCCTATCCTGCTTTGACCGAGCTGGTATCTAAGATGTAAGACAATGTTCTCCCCACGATTTCCTCTCCTCTCCTCAAGTGGAAGGAAGGGGACTCTCGGAGCTGCAAGATATGCAGCCTGTGTTTAAGTGAAGGGTGGCCCCAGCCCTCCTTCAGCAGCTCTGGCTCGTGTCTCAGTAGGTTGCATGGCTCACCCATCTACTGGCTCTGAGCCCAGTTCAGCACCAGGACTCCCCTAGTAATTGCAGTACTTGTGGCTGTCTTTCATGTTTATTTAGGGACCCATAGCACTCCAGCCTGAAGTGGGGAGGCTTTGCAGAACTCAGGTTCCAACTGTTGGGATGGGTGATTCCCCTCAACCTAGGGCTGGTTTAAATACCTCCTCTATGGACAGGCATCAGCTGAGTTTGGTCTGGTTTTGCTTTCTGCTATAACAGAGCAGCACTGAGTTCAATGCAGTGTGTCACAATTGCTGCTCTCTGTATCTCCCAAGTGCACAGATTCTCTCTTCTCACTGCACAGCCACTACCAGGGATGGGGGGAGAGTCATGTTTATAATTTAAGATTGTTTTTTTCTGCCTCTTTAAGCTATATAAATATAAAACCAGATACTTTGAATTCTCCCCTGATTTTTGGTTCTCATGAAGGTGGCCTTTTGTCTAGATGGTTATTAAATTAGCATCCTTGCTGGGGGCACCATCAATGGAGCCTTCTATTCTACCATCTTTCTTCACTCCTCCCCCAACCTCATTTTTTGTTTTTTTTTTTAATTTCTCTGCAGTCGATGGTAAAGTCCTTATTGTCTTTTCTGATTATGTTTGTTTGAAACCTCTCTGTCTCTCTGTCTCTGTCTCTCTCTCTCTCTCTCTCTCTCTCTCTTTATTAATCTAGCTAGCATTCTATCAATCTTATTCTTTCTAAGAACCAACTTCTGGTGACATTGATCTTTTGTGTGTTTTTGTGCATGTCAATTTCATTTACTTCAGCTCTGCTGATTTTGTGTATTTCTTGTCTTCTGCTAGTTTTGGGTTTAGTTTTCTCTTGTTTTCTAGTTCCTCTATGTGTGATATCTGGTTGCTCATTTGAGAATTTCTAACTGTTTTATGTGGGCATTTAGCACTGTGAACTTTCCTCTTACTGCTGTAGTTGTGTTTCAGAGATTCTGGTCTGTTGTATCTTTGTTCTCATTCATTTCAAGAAATTTCTTGAATTCTTTCTTAAGTTCATTGTTTACCCAAACATCATTCAGGAGCAGGTAGTTAAATTTTCATGTAGTGATATGGTTTTGAGTGATCTTCTTAGTATTAATTTTTATTTTTATTGCATTGTGGTCCAAGAGTGTGGTTGGCATAACTTTTTTTAATTTGCTGATAACTATTTTAGGTCCAGTTATGTAGTCAGTTTTGAGGTATGTGCCATGAACACATAAGACTAATTTATATTCTGTTGTTTTTGGTTGGAGAGTGCTGTAGATATCTGTTATGTCCATTTGTTCTAGATTTGAGTTCAGGACTCAAATATCTTTATTCATTTTCTGCCTCCCGATCTGTCTAATGCTGTCAATGGTGTGTTGAAGTCACCTACTGTTACTGTGGCATTATCTATGTCTCTTTGTTGATTTCTTAGTTGTTTTTGTTTTTTTGGGGGGATGGAGTCTCACTTCTTCTCCCAGGCTGGAGTGCAGTGACATGATCTCGGCTCACTGCAACCTCTGACTCCCGAGTTGAAGCAATTCTTTTGCCTCAGCCTCCCCAGTATCTGGGATTACAGGCATGTGCCACCACGCCTGGCTATTTTTGTATGTTTGGTAGAGACGGGGTTTCTCCATGTTAGCCAGGCTGCTCTCGAACTCCTGACCTCAAGTGATCCACCTGCCTCAGCCTCCCAAAGTGCTGGGATTATAGGTGTGAGCCAAGGCACCTGGCGGTCTCCCAGTTCTTGCTTTATGAATCTAGGTGCTCCTGACTTGGGTTCAAATATATATAGAATAGTTAGGTCTTCTGGTTGAATTGAATCCTTTACCATTATGTAATACCCTTATTTGTCTGTTTTGATCACTGTTGGTTTAAAGTCTGTTTGTCTGAATTAGAGTAACAACTGTTTGCCTCTTTTCCATTTTATCAGTACATTTTTATTGATCCCTTTAGTTCGAGCCTATGGGTGTTATTGCATGGGAGATGGGTCTCTTGAAGACAACATACCATTTGGTCTTGCTTCTTTATCTAGTTTGCCACTCTGTGCCTTTTAATTGAGGCATTTAGCCTGTTTATATTCAAGGTTAATAATGATATTTGCAGATTTGATCCTGTCATCATGTTGTTAGCTGATTATTTTGCAGAGTTAATTGTGTAGTTGATTTATAGTTACAATAGTCTATGTATTTTAGTGTGTTTTCTGTGGTGGCCAGTAATAGTCTTTCATGTTCATAATTAGCACACTGTTAAGGACCTACTATAAGGTAGATATGGTAGTAACAAATTCCCTTCACCTTTATTTATCCTGTTTGAACAGGATCTTATTTCTCCTTTGCTTATTAAGCTTACTGTGGCTGTATATAAAATTATTTTTTTTAATTATACTTTAAGTTTTAGGGTACATGTGCACAACGTGCAGGTTAGTTACATATGTATACCTGTGCCATGTTGGTGTGCTGCACCCATTAACTCGTCATTTAACATTAGGTATATCTCCTAATGCTATCCCTCCCCCCTCCCCCCACCCCACAACAGGCCCTGGTGTGTGATGTTCCCCTTCCTGTGTCCATGTGTTCTCATTGTTCAATTCCCACCTATGAGTGAGAACATGCAGTGTTAGGTTTTTTGTCCTTGCGATAGTTTGCTGAGAATGATGGTTTCCAGCTTCATCCATGTCCCTACAAAGGACATGAAATCATCATTTTTTATGGCTGCATAGTATTCCATGGTGTATATGTGCCACAGTTTCTTAATCCAGTCTATCGTTGTTGGACATTTGGCTTGGTTCCAAGTCTTTGCTATTGTGAATAGTGCCGTAATAAACATACATGTTCATGTGTCTTTATAGCAGCATGATTTATAGTCCTTTGGGTATATACCCAGTAATGTGATGGCTGGGTCAAATGGTATTTCTAGTTCTAGATCCCTGAGGAATCACCACACTGACTTCCACAATGGTTGAGTTAGTTTACAGTCCCACCAACAGTGTAAAAGTGTTCCTATTTCTCCACATCCTCTCCAACACCTGTTGTTTCCTGACTTTTTAATGATCGCCATTCTAACTGGTGTGAGACAGTATCTCATTGTGGTTTTGATTTGCATTTCTCTGATGGCCAGTGATGATGAGCATTTTTTCATGTGTCTTTTGGCTGCATAAATGTCTTCTTTTGAGAAGTGTCTGTTCATATCCTTTGCCCACTTTTTGATGGGGTTGTTTGTTTTTTTCTTGTAAATTTGCTGGAGTTCATTGTAGATTCTGGATATTAGCCCTTTGTCAGATGAGTAGATTCCAAAAATTTTCTCCCATTCTGTAGGTTGCCTGTTCACTCTGATGGTAGTTTCTTTTGCTGTGCAGAAGCTCTTTAGTTTAATTACATCCCATTTGTCAATTTTGGCTTTTGTTGCCATTGCTTTTGGTGTTTTAGTCATATAGTCCTTGTCCATGCCTATGTCCTGAATGGTATTGCCTAGGTTTTCTTCTAGGGTTTTTATGGCTTTAGGTCTAACATTTAAGTCTTTAATCCACCTTGAATTAATTTTTGTATAAGGTGTAAGGAAGGGATCCAGTTTCAGCTTTCTACATATGGCTAGCCAGTTTTCCCAGCACCATTTATTAAATAGGAAATCATTTCCCCATTTCTTGTTTTTGTCAGTTTTGTCAAAGATCAGATGGTTGTAGATATGCGGCATTATTTCTGAGGGCTCTGTTCTGTTCCATTGGTCTATATCTCTGTTTTGGTACCAGTACCATGCTGTTTTGGTTACTGTAGCCTTGTAGTATAGTTTGAAGTCAGGTAGCGTGATGCCTCCAGCTTTGTTCTTTTGGCTTAGTATTGACTTGGTGATGCAGGCTCTTTTTTGGTTTCATATGAACTTTAAAGTAGTTTTTTCCAATTCTGTGAAGAAAGTCCTTGGTAGTTTGATGGGGATGGCATTGAATCTATAAATTACCTTGGGCAGTATGGCCATTTTCACGATATTAATTCTTCCTATCCATGAGCATGGAATTTTCTTCCATTTGTTTGTGTCCTCTTTTATTTCATTGAGCAGTGGTTTGTAATTCTCCTTGAAGAGGTCCTTCATGTCCCTTGTAAGTTGGATTCCTAGGTATTTTACTCTCTTTGAAGCAATTGTGAATGGGAGTTCACTCATGATTTGGCTCTCTGTTTGTCTGTTATTGTTGTATCGGAATGCTTGTGATATTTGCACATTGATTTTGTATCCTGAGACTTTGCTGTAGTTGCCTATCAGCTCAAGGAGATTTTGGGCTGAGATGATGGGGTTTTTGGTTGGAATTACTTTCCTTTAAGAATGCTGAGTGTAGGCTCCCAATCTCTTCTGGTTTTTAGTTTTCTACTGAAAGATCTTCTGTTAGCCTGATGGGATTCCCTTTGTAGGTTACATGCCTCCTCTCTCTAGCTGCCTTTAACATTTTTTTCTTCTGTGACTTTCTTGGAGAATCTGATGACTATATGTCTTGAGGATGGTTGTCTTCCATAGTATCTCACAGGTTTTTTTTTTATTATTTTTGTTCATTTCCTGAATTTGAATGTTGGCCTCTCTAATGAAGTTGTGAAAAATTTCATGGATGATATCCTGAAATATGTTTTCCAAGTTACTTGCTTTCTCTTTCTCTCTTTCAGGGATATGAGTCATAGATTTGGTCTCTCCATAATCCCATATTTCTCAAATTTTAGTGTTTTATTCTTTTTTTCTTTATTTTTGTCTGACTGAGTTAATTCAGAAAAGCAGTTATTGAGCTCTGAGATTCTTTCCTCAGCTTGGTACATTTTGCTTAATATATGCAATTCTTCTCTGAAATTCTTGAAGTAAGTTTTTCAGTTCTGTCAGATCAATTTGGTTCTTTCTTAAAATGGCTATTTCATCTTTCAGTAAATTCTTTGTATTGTGTTTTGCCTTCCTCCTGAATCTTGATAAACTTCATTCCTATCCATATTCTGAATCCCATGTCTGTCATTTGAGCCATTTCAGCATGTTTAAGAACCGTTGCTGGGAAACGAGTGCTGTCATTTGGAGGTAAGAAGACACTCTGGTTTTTTGTTCTTGCACTGGCTCTTTCTCATCTGTGTTGGGTGATATTCCTTTAATCTTTGAAGTTGCTCTCCTTTGTATAGGGATTTTTGCTTTTATTTTTGTTGATACCCTTGGGTATTTTATTGTGTTATGAGTTCAGTTTAGTCAACTGGCTTCCTCTCTGGAAGATTTCAGGGTGCTGAGGTTCAGATCAGCTCTCCTGGGATGTATGCTCTAACTCTGGGGGACTAATACCAGACCCCTTGCTTTGTTCTCTGGCCCCTTGAGGTTAGGAAACTGTTGCACTTGAGGGATTGAATTGTTCCTAGTTTTCTGGTCACAGCAGTCTAATGGGGGTTGCCAGACAAAGTACTTCATTAGGATAGTGGCAGCAGGGACTGTGGTCCCTTGTGCATGCCAGCAACAACAGTGGTGTGGATGTGTGGTACTCATCAGCGGGGTTACTTTGGCAACATTCTTGCATGGGCTTCAGCCAGTGGCAGCAGCACAGCAGGGGCAGGACTCCAGTGTTTTTGCATGCACTTGTGCTGGCTACAGCAGTGGAGTGCCCATGCATCAATGGGATGAGGAGCTGGCAGGCGCAAAGTGAAGGCAGGAGGATTTGGTGGGGGAAAGCTATGAGTGGGTGTGTGTGCATTGGTGGGACCAATTTTCTGGAGCTCTTTAAAAGTTAGGCTTGGTCTGCAGTGAGGAAGTTACAAAGAGGGTCCTTGGGCAGCTTTCTGATTCAGGATCTGAGGCTGCCCTGCATGCAGGTATGTCCAGGGTGGGGCCCCAAGAGAGGCTAGCAGACAAGGTAGCACTCAGATCAGACTGTCCCCATTTCATGGGCAAGACCTTGCTGCTTTGTCCACGTCCAATAGTTACCCAAAAGCTAAAGCCACATAGGGAAATGTGGGAAGCCGTGGAGTATGGGGATCACTGGCCATCTTCCACTGCAGCCGTTTCGTTTCCATGCCAAACCCTCTAGGTTCTGCAGAGGCTGGAGTCCTGCTCCTGCCACCTCTCTAAGCAGCTCTCTCTGCCGGCTCAAGTGTCCACTGGGGTCATGGGGTCTCCTGTAGCTAGGATTCCAAGGTCCATGATAAGATGGGGCCACTCCTTGTCTGTTGAACTCACCCCTTCCCAGGAGCCACCGGGAGCCAGGGATGAGTTCCAGTGCTCAATAGCCCAGTCACGGGTTCCCAGCTTCATCCCTCTCCAACCTAGTGTTTGCATCCTTCTATCCACTCTGAACGCCTTCCTTCCAAAAATCTGCTCGCAGTTTGCCAGCCTTCCTCATGTCTCTGTCTTTTGGTGCAAGATGTTTTTCCTGGCTGCATTTAGTTGGCCATCTTAGCTGACATCCACTGAACTGTTCTCAGGAGGGTTTGGTAATTAAGTAATGGAGAGTAACATTTCCCAGCTTCTGGGTGTCCCAGTATCCTCCCTATGAATTCCCCAGCACCTCCAGGTCACAGGGTGACATGGGCTGTGACAGAGTCACCTGGTGCCTTCCAGAGAATAGGAGATGGAGCAACGGAGACAGGACCCAAGTTCAGTGTGCAGGCACAAGAGACATACGTATTGACTCACTTTACTTTTGGAACTCTTTTCTATAAAAACAGAAATGCAACTCAAGGATTTTATACACTGATGGTCAATGTAATTTTATCCATTTTATTTTATTTTTAAATAAAATAATTTATTAGAACACTTTTATATATTTAAATAATATAATTTATTTATTAGAACACTTTTAAGTTTACAGAAAAATTGACCTCAAGTATAGAGTTCCTATATGACTCTATACCTGCCCCCAGTTTTCTCTATTATTAACATCTTGTATTTATATAGTACATTACTGTTAGAATTGATAAACCAATAATATTGATATATTATTGTTAACTAAAATTAATAGCTAAATTGGGGTTCATTCTTTGTGTTGTACAGGTCCATGAACTTTTACAAATTCACAATATAATATATTCACCATTATATCATAAATAATAGTTTTACTACCCTAAAATTATTTGTGCTTCACCTATTCATAAAATCCCCTCTCACTCTTCAACCTTTGACAACCGCTGATATTTCTACTGTTTCTATAGTTTTGCTTTTCAAAAATGTTATATAGTTGGAACATACAGTATGTAGCCTTTTCAGATTGATTTATTCCCTAAGCAATGTAGTTTTAATGATCTTGTGTGGCTTGATAGCCCATTTATTTTTATTACTGAATAATAATCCATGGTATGGATGTATCACAGTTTGAATAGCAATTCATCTATCGAAAGACTTCTTGGTTGCTGACAATTTCTGAAAATTACAAATATAGCTGCTAAAAACATTTGTGTGCAGGTTTTTTGTGTAGACATGTTTTCTACTCATGAGTATAGGAATACCTCAAAGAGATATTGGGGTTTGGTTCCAGACCACCACAATAAAGCATATATCCCCATAAAGCAAGTCACGTGAATTTTTTCCAGTGCATAAGAAGTTGTGTTTATACTGTTCTGAAGTCTATTAAGTGTGCAATAGCATTATATCTAAAGAAAACAATGTACATACTTTTTAATTTAAAAAGACTTTATTGCTAAAAACTGCTAAGGCTCATTTGAACCTTCAATGATTTGTAATCCTTTATTCTGATGAACAATCTTGCCTCATTTTTGATGACTGCTGACTTATGGAGGCGATGGTTGCTTAACATCATAAACCAAACTCTGCTAGCTTCAAACTTTTTTGCTACACCTTTCTAGCCTCTCTCGGCTTTCATAGAATTATAGAGAGTTAGGGCATTGCTGTAGATTAGGCTTTGGCTTAAGGGAATCTTCTGGCTGGTTTTTGATCTTCTATCCAGGCGACTAAAATTTTTTTCATATCAGCAATAAGGCTGTTTTGCTTTCCTATCATTCATGTGTTCACTGGAGTAACAATTTTAATTTCCTTTAGTAACTTTCCCTTTGCATTGACAACTTTGCCAACTGATTGTAACAAGCAGCCTAGCTTTCAGCCTATCTAAGCTTTTAACATTTCTTTCTCACTAAACGTAATCACTTTCTAGCTTTTGATTTAAAGTGAAAGGTGGACAGCTCTTCATTTCACTTGACCACTATGAGGCCATTGTAGCATTATTCGTTGGTTTAATTTTAATATTTTTGTGTCTCATTGAATAGGGAGACCAGAGAAGAGGGAGAGAGATGGGAAATAGCCAGTAGTTCAGCAAGCAGAACATATACAACATTTATCAATTAGATTCACCATCTTATGTGGGTATGATTCTTTGTACCCCAAAATAGTAATGATTGTATCATCAAAGATCACTGATTACAGATCACTGATCACAGAACAGATATACTAATAATGAAAAAGTTTAAAATGTCATGAGAATTACCAAAATGTGATACAAAGACACAAAATGAGTCCATGCAAAAAGGCAATGATAGATTTTGTATACATAGAGATGCCACAAATCTTCAATGTGTAAAAGAAGCAATATATGCACAATACAGTGAAATGCATGAAACAAGTTATGCCTGTAAATACTTAGGAGCACTATTTCTTCATTTTATGACAGCCTCACCAGAATTTGGTGTTTTGAGTATTTTGGATTTTAGCCATTCTTATAAGTGCATAGTGATATCTCACACCTTGTTTTACTTTGCAATTCCCTAATGCCATTTGATCAAGCATCTTTACATTGTTTATTTGTTAACTATATCTTCTGTATTGAGGTGTCTATGAAGACGCTTCACCCATATTTTAATTAGGTTGTTTTCTTTCATATTGTTGAATTTTTAGAGTTATTTAAGTATTTTGGATATAAGTCTTTTATAAGTTTTGTATTTCTTGTTATGTCTTTATCCAATGGTTTTGGTATTAGGACAATGCTCACTCATAGAATCAGTTGGGAAGTATTCTCTTTGCTTTTATTTTTTGTGGAACAAGTTGCAGATAAAAAATGCTATCATTTTTTTTTCCATAATTGTGTCCTAGAATTAACAAGTAGAATCATTTTGGCCTGCTGTTTTTATTTTTTGGAGGTAATTAACTATTGATGCAAGTTTTAAAACAGATGTAGCCATTTTCAGATTATCTGTTTCTCCTTGTGTGAGACTTGATTATTTGCATATTTCAAATAGTCTATTCTATCTCAGTTATCAAATTTGTGAATTTTTACTCTAACATTGATTATATAAACTTTCTAATTATGTTGGATTGAATTTACCCTTTTTTATAGTTTACTAAGGTGAAATTTTAAATTATTATTTTACATATCCTAATTTTCTTATATGCATTTATTGTTCTAAATTTACAATTAAGGACTGCTTTTATTGCATGTAACAATTTTTAAATGTTTTTGTTTTATTTAAAGAGTTGGCAAATAATGTATATATTTATCATAAACAACATGGTGTTTTGAAGTATATATATGTATACACACACATACATATATATACACACACATTGTGGAATTTCTAAATAGAGCTAATTAAAATATGCATTACCTTAAATTGTTAAATAACCTGTTATAACAAGGTTTCTTCTAAGACTAATGGTAATCACAAAGCAACAATCTATAATAGATGCAGTAAAGCTAAAAAGCAAGGGATTAAAAAATACAATTAGAGAAATTTACCACAAAGAAAGATATGAAGAGAGGAAAAAGGCAAAAAGACCTACAAAACAACTAGAAAACAATGAACAAAGTAATAGTTGTAAGTTCTTACGATCAATAATTACCTCGAATGCAAAGGAATTACACTATCCAATTAAAGAACATAGAGTGGCAGAACGCATAAAGAAACAAAACTTGAAGCGATTCATGAGGAGGAGGCAGAGAAAAACGGTGGAATAGAAGGCTAAGCCAATTGTGCTCCCCAAAAGGGTACCAATTTAAGAACTATCAACACAAAAAACAACTTTACAAGAAACAAAATTCAGGTGAACCCTCATAGCACCTGGTTTTTACTCCACATCACTGAAAGAGGCTCAGAAAAGATAGAAAAAACAGTCTTGGATCTCTGAGGCCACACCTCCCCCACCCCCCTCCAGCAGTAGCCTAGAGCTGAGACTATATCTGGGCACTGGAGGAGGGAGAACACAGCAATTGTGAGGCATTAAACTCATTGCTGTCCTATCAGAGCAGAAAGGAAAACCAGACCAAACTCAGATGATGCCCTCCCATGGAGCAAGCATTTAAACCAGTCCTAGCCAGAGAGAACTGCAGATTCCAGTGATCCAAAATTAAGTTTCTGTAAACGTCACCACCAAAGGCCAAAGTGCTCTGGGTATCTAAGTAAACTTGAAAGTCAGTCTAGGCCATAAGGACAAACTCATAGGCAAGTCCTAGGGCTGAACTGGGCATAGAGACAGTGGAATAGAAGGGCATGCAAGCTACTGAGATGCCAGCTGCAGCAGTTAAGGGAGTGCTGGCATCACCCCTCCCCCAAACTCAAGCTGCATAGCTCCTGGCTCCAAAAGAGACCCCTTCCTTTTGCTTGAGGAGAGGAGAAAAAAGAGTGAGAGGAGTTTGTCTTTCATCTTATATACCTACAGATTGTGAAGACCCAGGGCCTTGAGCAAACATAAGCAGTTGCCAGAAAGTTGTTACAGCAGGACTTGGACAAGATCCAGTGCTCTGCTGGCTTCAGGTCTGACCCAGAAAAGCCATACTTGTGGTGGCCATGGGGGTGCTTTTGCCACTTCACTCCCAGCATTCAGTGGCTCAGAACAGAGAGAGAGAGAGAGAGATAGAGACAGACTCTGTTTGGGAGAAAGCAACCAAAGAGAACAAAAGTCTCTGCCTGGTAATCTAGAGAATTACCTCAGATCTAGTCCAAGACCTTCAAGGTGCTACGTCTACAAGTCTGCAAGAACCACAGTGTTACTGGGCTTGAGGTACCCCCTAAAGCAGCTACAGCTTAGATCACAACACCCACTTCCTTTCAAATATCTGGAAGGGTTTTTCAAGAAGTACAACTACAAATAAGCCCAGACAGTGGGGACTACAATAAATATCTAACTCCTCAACGCCCAGATATTAATATCTACTACCATCAACACAATGTGGGAAAACATGAACTCACCAAATGAACTAAGTAAGAAACCAGGGACCAATTCTGGAAAAACAGAAATATGTAAATTTTCAGAAATTTTAAAATAGCTGTTTTGAGAGAGCTCAAAAAAATTTAAGGTAACACAGATGAGGAATTCATAATTCTGTCAGATAAATTAACAAAGAGATAGAAATAATTTAAAAGAATAAAACAAATTCTGGAGCTAAAAATGCATGCAATTGGCATACTGAAAAATGCATCAGAGTCCTTTAATAGCAGAATTAATTAAGCAGAAGAAAAAATTATTGAGCTGGAAGACAGGTTATTTGAAAATACACAGTTAGAGGAGAAAAAAATAAAATAATTTTAAAACCATTAAACACACCTACAGGATCTAGGAAATAGCCTCAAAAGGGCAAATTTATGAGTTATTGGCCTTAAGGAGGAGGCAGAAAAAGAGATAAGGGAAGAAAGTTTATTGAAAGGGATAATAGCAGAGAACATTCAAAACCTTGAGGAAGATATATATCAATATGAAAATACAAGAAGGCTATAGAACACCAAACATTTAACCCAAAGAGGACTACCTCAAAGAACTTAACAACCACATGCCCAAATATCAAGGATAGAGAAAGAATCCTAAATGCAGCAAGAGAAAAAAAAAATGAATAATGTACAATGGAGCTCCAATATGTCTGGCTATAGACTTTTTAATGGGAAAGTTAGTTATAGGCCAGAAAAGAGTAGCATGTTGTAAGAAAAGTGCTGAATGAGAAAAACTTTTACCCTAGAATAGTATATCTAGCAAAAATAGTTTTCAGACATGAAACAGAAATAAAGACTTTCCCAGAAAAGCAAATGCTGTGGGATTTCAACACCACATCACCACATCATTCCTACAAGAAATGTTATAGGAAGTACTTCAAATAGAAAAAAAAGGACTTGAATATACAATAAGTAATCACATAAAGGTACAAAACTCACCGGTAATAGTAAGTCCAAAAAAATCCCAGGTATTTTAACACTGTTATTTGATGTGCAAAATATTCTTATTTTAAGTAGGAAAACAAAAAGATGAACCAATCAAAAATAATAACTACAACAACTTTTCAAGACTTTGGCAAAAGTACAAAAATATATAAATAGAAAACAAAAAGTAAAATAGTGAGGGGGCAAAGTTAAGACATAGAGTATTAGTTTTCTTTCTCCATGTTTGTTTGTTTATGTAAACAGTGTTCTTATTAAGATAAAATAATGGGTTACAAGATAGTATTTGCAAGCCTCTTAATAAACTAAAAAATATATGATGGATGCACAAAAAATAAAAAAGCAAGAAACTAAATCATATTACCAGAGAAAATCACTTCACTAAAGGAAGACAGGAAGGAAAGAAAGAAAGAACACTACACACACACACACACACACACACACACACACACACACACACACACAGAGAGAGAGAGAGAGAGAGAGAAAGAGAAAAAATGAAAACAAGAAAATGGCAGGAGTAAGTTCCTACTTATCAATAATAACCTTAAATGAGAATGGACTAAATTCTTTAATCAAAAGATATAAAGTAGCTGAAAGGGTAATAAAATAAAGATTTATTTATATTTGGCCTGCAAGAAACACAGTTCACCTATAAAGAGACACATAGACTGAAAATAAAGGATAGAAAAAGATAAGCCGTGTCAATGGAAACCAAAATAATAGCAGGAGTCACTATACTTACATCAGATGAAATAGAATTTAAGACAAAGTTATAATAAGTGACAAAGAAGGTCACTATATAATAATAAAGGGGTCTATTCAGGAAGAGAATATAACAATTTTAAATACATATACACCCCAATCTGGAGTACCCATATATATAAAAAGATATTATTTGCACTACAAAGAATGATAGGTCCCAATATGATAATAGCTGGAGATTTCAACAACCCACTTTCAACACTGGGCAGAAGTTCTAGACAGAATATCAGCAAAGAAACATTTGATCTAATCTGCAATATAGACTAAATGGATCTTTTTTTTTCTTTTCTTCCTTGAATTTTTATTAACTGAACAAATATCACAGGAAGAAAAGCTGAAGTCTGTCAACAAACCTGGACAGACTTTTGTCACAAACCATCATAGGCTCTTCAGGCCCAATAGATTTTGTCCCAGGCCATTATATGTTCTCTAAGCCCATTGAATTCCCCTGAAAATGAGTTACTACCCTCCGAAAATCATCCACACTTTTCCATTTCCCTTCCCCAGTTACCCATTGGGATATTGGGTAATCACTCTGTGGTTTTTCTCCTGTGCACACTAATAAATTTGGACGCCATTTCTCCTATTAATCTGCGTTTCGCCAGTCGATTGTTCAGCAAACCTTCAGAGGGCAAAGGAAGAGTTTTACCTTGGCTCCTACACCTTCAATACTGCTCCCTTCTGGAGAGAAAAGGAGAAAAGTCTACTCCTCAAGAAAAATGTGCAGCTGCCATGTTATCTGCCATGAGATCTGAGGAGCAGAGGAAGCCACTGCTGAAGAGAAGAATGAAGCACGACATGAGATGGAGAGCACTGCTGCTTTAGGTTCTTGGTAGCTTTCAGTTCCTTCGGAGGCCTAAATGGATCTAATAGATATTTACGGAACATTTCATACAGTGACTACAGAATAAATATTCCTTTATTTAGCACATGGATAATTCTCAAGAAGAGGCCATATGTTAGGTTCACCAAATGAATCTTAAATTTTTTTTAAATGAAATAATATCAAACATTTTCTCTGGCCATAATGGAGTAAAACTAGATACTAATAACATGAGGAATTTTGGGAACTATACAAAATACAAAGAAATTGATCAATATGCTCCTGAATTACCAGAGAGTCAATGAAGAAATTAAGAAGGAAATTGGAATATGTCTTGAAATACATAATAATAGAAACAAAATATATGAAAACCTGTGAATCACAGTAAAAACAGTACAAAGAGGGAAGTTAATTGATATAAGTGCTTACATAAAAACATAGAAAAAACTTTATATAAACAATTTAACCATGCATTTTAACAATGCATCATTAAAAAGCAAGTTCAAACCAAACCCCAAATTAATAAAAATAAATATCAGAGCAGAAATAAATTTGAAATGAAAAAAATACAAAAGATCAATGAAACAAAAAGTTAATGTTACATTTCAAAATGCAATTCTGCTTTCCTGACAGTCTCCCAAAGTCTTAATTCACTCCAGCATTTAAACAAAAGTTCACAGTTCAAAGTCTTACCTCAGACAAGGCAAGTCCCTTACACCAATGAACCTGTAAAATTTTAAACAAGTCAGTTAATTCCAAGATAGAGTGCAGGCATTTGTTAGTACTCCTGTTTCAAAAGAGAGAAATCAGACAAAACAAAGGGGTTACAGGCCCTATGCAAGTCCAAAAACAAGCAGATCAGTCATTCAATCTTAAAGCTACAAAATAATCTCCTTTGTCTCCATGTCTCACATCTAAGTAACACTGATGCAAGAGGTGGGCTCCCAAGGTCTTCAATAGCTCTGCCTCTGTGGCTTTGCAGTTTACAGCTCCCCCCGTCCCACCCTGCCACCAACCGCTGCTTTCACAAGCTGGTATTAAGGGCCTGTGGCTTTTCCAAGCACATGGTGCAAACTGTCAGTGGGTCTATCATTCTGGGGTCTGGAGAATTGTGGCCCTGTTCTCTTAGCTTCACTAGGCAGTGCTCTAGTGGGGACTCTCTGTGGGGGCTCAAACCCCACATTTTCCCTCTGCACTGCCCTAGTAGAGGTTCTCCATGAGGGCTCCACCCCTCAAGCAGACTTCTGCCTGGGAATCCAGGCATTTCCATACATCTTCTAAAATCTAGGAGGGTGTTACCAAGCCTCAACTCTTGCTCTCTGTACACCTGAAGGCTAAACGCCCCATGGAAGCCATGGCTTGCACCCTCTGAAGCAGCAGCCAGAGCTGTACCTTGGTTCTTTTGAGCCATGGCTGGAGCTGTAGTGGCTGGGACACAGGGAGCAGTGTCCTGAGGTTGTGCAGAGCAGTAGGACCCTGGATCTGGTGCACAAAATATTCTTTCCCTCTTAGGCCACCAGGCCTGTGATGAGAGAATCTGCCCTGGATGTCTCTGAAATGCCTTCCAAGCATTTTCCCCATTGTCTTGGCTTGGCTCCTCTTTATAAAAATTTCTGCTACCTGCTCGAATTTCTCCCTGGAAACAGGTTTTTCTTTTCCACCACATGGTCAGGCTGCAAATTTTTTAAACTTTTATGCTCTGCTTTTGTCTTAAATAAAAGTTCCAGTTTCAGATTATCTCTTTGAACAAAGCTGGAGTCATCATTCTGTCTGACTTCAAAATATACCACAAAACTGTAGTAATCAAATCTACATGGTACTGGCATGAAAACAGACATATGACCAATGGAACAAAGTTGAGAGCTCAAGAATAAATCCTCTAATTTTCACCCAACTGATTTTCAACAAAGGGGCCAAGCACATACATTGGGGAAAGGAGAATTTGTTTAATAAATGGTGTTGGAAAAACAGGATAATCATATACAGAAGAATGAAATTAGACCCTTCCCTTATTTATCACCATATTCAAGAATAAATTCAAAATGGATTAAAGACTTAAATGTAATTTCTGAAACTATGAAGAAATTACAAGGGAAATTTTAAAATTTCTTGAGAGAAGCACATCAAAAAGATCATTCACAATAATGAAGTGAAATTTATCTCAAAGAGAAGTTTCCAAACCTGGGCTAATTTTGTGACTATTTAGTAATGATCCACACCCTCACATTTTTCATTTGCCTTATATTCTGTTCAGTGCTTTAATGAAGATGGTTGTAAGCAGGTCATAAAATTCAGATGCTTGGAGGGGAGTTTGTAAGCATTTCATATGATACTGAGGTTAAATGCGGCTGATATTACTTTGGTGTAATGGTGAACTAATTAATGTTTAACAACTGGCACTCTGGGTTGAAAAAGCCCCTATTAATAGCATTGGCTGACTTCCGTGGTGTTAAAATTCTTACTATTGCTAAGTTAAAGTTACCAAGCTGATGTTACTGAATGTATAGGTGGGAAGAGATACACAGTAGCACATTCTTATTTAGTATTTCATTATACAGGTACAATAGACGTAAATAATCTCAATAACATAAATAATAATAAAATGGAACAAAATATTTAAGTTTATATAACTTAATTTTGAATAATGACTGTGGGAACCAGATATAAAAATTCCTACAGATTTGGGCCAGGCGCGGTGGCTCACACCTGTAATCCCAGCACTTTGAGAGGCTGAGGTGGGTGGATCATGAGGTCAGGAGTTTGAGACCAACCTGGCCAACATGGCAAAACCCCGTCTTTACTAAAAATACAAAAATCAGCCAGGCATGATGGTGCCCATCTGTAATCCCAGCTACTTGGGTGGATGAGGCAGAAGAATTGCTTGAACCTGGAAGGCGGAGGTTGCAGTGAGCCAAGATCATGCCATTGCACTCCAGCCTGGGTGACAAGCGCAAGACTCCATCTCAAAAAATAAAAAAAAATCCTAAAGATTTAACATTTAATTCTTATGAGTTTGACAGGATGGTTTCAGCACAGTACTTCTATAAGTTGCAAATATTTGCTATAATTAACCCAGATGCCTTTTCAAGGAAGTATGGATGATTCCATCTTCACTGTGGGTGAACATCCTCATGGCTACTCATAATTATAATAATCAGTACTTAATATATGGTAAGCACAACTCTAAGAAGCAACTGTTATTGATTTTAATATTTAATATTTCCATTAAAACAATCAGAGTTCTGAAGCACTCAATAGACAATGATCTTTCCATTGTTTATATAACTTATGTGAAAGAGCTAGACTATAGGTCTACATCTGTCCAATACCAAAACCCACACTTTTAAACAATATCCCATACTGCATATATGTAAGCATGTTAAATCATACAAAATCACTGGAATTTTGCTAATTTTGACTTACAAAAATGCAATGTGATTGCATGTAACTTAATATAAATATGAATATGGATACAGATACAGGTGCAGATAAGGGACCACTTGCCTGCTCTAGTTGGCATGTACTTTTAATATTATTGAGAGGTAGCAAATGGAAGAGCACACATCTAGAGATCAGCAGCCTTGCATGTTGTAGCAAGAGCACTGCATGGTATCAGAAGATTCAGACCCTATACTTTATTAGCTACAATAAACACAACAAAACTTGTTCTGCCTCATTTTCAGGACTTCTACATATTAAGGAAAGCACTTTAGACAATATTGATATAAAAATTATTTTTTATGAGTTTCATAGTGTTTTTGGTATAACAATGCCCTGTATGGCAATGGGAAAAAATATGGCAATAGCATATATCACCAAAGCTGTGCTCCCTCATTTTTTATTAGATGCATTTCATGTTGCTTGTACTACCTAGCTTTCTATTAATAATAATAACTTTAATAAAAATGTTTAACTTTTGTACACCAACTATGTGTCAGACTCTGGACACTTTATGTTAAACTATGAAATCCTCATAAAAATTTTCTGAAGTGTATGTTATTATTTTCAGTTAAACATAATGTGAGTTTCAGAAATAATAGTGGATCCGGGACTGGGAGCACTGTCTACGTCTTTAGCTGGTGCTTTTATCTTCCAGCACTGATTCCCACTTTGAAGATATAATTGTGTTTTATAACTTGTATCTATTCTTATAGCTTCTTGCATCTATCTGTGTCCAGCACAGTGAATGGCATCATAGCAGATATCTCAATGACCATTGAAATAAATATTTGAAATAAAATTTGTTTAGAGATTTGAATTCTATGTAGAATCCTAGATTGAAGTTTAATATTTTGGTCTGGAACTTTGAAATAAAATCAGTTGACTATGGAATTACTCCTAACTTTGCTATCTGAATCAGAAAACAAAGGGCCCATTTCCTGCATTTTGGGCCTTGGAATCAGATTCCAACACGTTGAGGAGCTTGCACAGACCCTTTGGAAACTGTAAAGTTTCCAATAATATCTACTTAAAATGATTTTCTTTCCTTCAAGTACCCTAAGCATTCACAGGGTAGACATTTATCTAGTACCACCAACTGTGTTAATTAATGTATTTTGGCAGAATTTGTTGTGTAGATGATTTATTTAGAATCTGAACACATAGTCAGGATTTGGTACTAGGCTATGTGGAATATGTTATAGAGGAGAAAATGACCTGAAGTGATTCTAATTCATAACTCTAGGCTGCTATCAACAGTCTCAGAAAGGAATGTTAATTAGAAAATGGCAATGTTTTAGAGTGAAGAAAGCAATGTCCTATTTCTCTGAAGACACAGGTACATATCATGAATAACACTTCTCAAATGGGTGGCTTTATAGTGTTCCTTCAACTCTCTGAGCCTCTGGTGTTTTCATCTAGAAAGAGAGGCTTATAATTGTATCTTCGTCATTGGGTTGTTGTGAGGATTACTTGAGATAACATATATACATAAGTGGCTAGAATACAAATCGTTGCAATGTAAATATCACCTACCTCTAATGTAAAACCTCCAAGGTTTTTAATAATGTCCTCTGAAGTCAAAGAAAGTCGAGTGAAAGGTGGATTTTCAAGTGCTCTGTGGCTTGTCTCTTCAGTCTAGTTCATTTAACAAGTTGTCATCTTGTTTCTCTGTTAAAACAAGTCTGCTCCATGTCAATGAAAATGAAAAAACAGGAACTCTTCAATCAGCTTTGTTGCCAGTCCTATAGGGATGCTATGCCTGCCTAGTCTGAAATGTAGCCATTTCACAATATTAGTTGCCTATCAACCATAAATTTTATTAAAGCCTCTTCATGTATGTCTGTTATAATGATAAATCCTTGGTTGAAGGCTCTTTAAGTATTAATCTATAAATCTGATTATAGCATAAGTTAATTTTTTCTCTAAATAGTATTCAATATTAATTAATTAATTCAACCAATATTTTCTGAGCACTTACGTGCTAGAACATATTCTAGGCACGGGGATACAGCAGAGAAAAAGGTGATGTTTCTATACACAATTAGCTGTCATTCTAGTAGGGGCTAGTCAGAAAACAAATTTTAGGTAAATAAATAAATATATTGTATGTTAGATAGCAGGTACCACAAGGAAAAATAAACAGAAGGTATATGAAGATATGCTAGCAAGGGAAATAGAAAGTTATGATTTTTAAAAGAATGGTCAATTAAGACTTCACTGACAGTGTATAATTTTAGCCAAAGTTAGAAGAAAATAAGGTAAGATAAATTATATTGATCTATAAATTACTGTCAGTTTATATGCTGAATTATTTAGAAATTATTATCTTATTTAATCTTCACAACCACTCAATAAAGTAGACATTTTTGTACTCATTTTTTCATTGAGGAAGCAGAAGATTAAAGAAATTACATAAGTTGTTCAAGGTCACACTGTTAATCTTTCAATGAATAAATGAACTAGGAATCATCAAAGACTTTTCTACTGTCAAAATTTTAATTTCTTTTTGTTACATAATTCTATCTCAGGTTTACATATATGGACAAGTTTATAATAGATTAATTTCCCCTGTTATGGGGAACATTTTGTGTTCCCCCAAAAGTCATGTATTGAAGTCTTAAAACTCAGTAGCTCAGAATGTGACTGTATTTGGAGATAGTGCTCTTAAAAAGCTGATAAAATTAAAATGAGGCCTTTAGGGTGGGCCTAAACCAATCTGACTGGTGTCCTTATGAAACAAGAAATTTTGGACACCTAAGGAGAGATCTGGGATACAAACAAACTGAAGAAAGGTTATATGACGCCAGAGTGAGAAGACACTTATCTGCAAGCCCAGGAGAGAGGCCTAAGGAGAAACCAACCCTGCTGACACTTGACCTTGGACTTCCAGCCTCCAGAGCTCTGTTTAAACTACCAAGTCTGTGGTATTTTGTTATGGCAGCCCTAATAAACTAATATAGATCCACAGTGATATTTCAATGTATTTCATTGTGTCATCTGACATACTCTTCTTTCACAGTACTTTTAACACTGGTACTTTGCCTCAGGCTGTTTACTTCACCTTAAACCTTCCTTCTTAGGCTTTCCCCTCTCTTCATTACAGATCAATACCACATAAAATGCAAATTAGTGTGTAAAACTTTTCTCTACTTTTTGAAACTAGAAGCAATTTTCTTTTCCTTCACAACCCACTAGCAATTGTCTTGAAACTTATTTACTTATGTATTTATTGAGACAGAGTTTTGCTCTTGTTCTCCAGGCTGGAGTGGAATAGTGTGATCTCGGCTCACCACAACCTTCGCCTCCCAGGTTCAAGCGATTCTCCTGCCTCGGCCTCCTGAGTAGCTGGGATTACAGGCATGCGCCACCATGCCTGGCTAATTTTGTATTTTTAGTAGAGATGGGGTTTCTCCATATTGGTCACTTTCGTCTCGAACTCCCGATCTCGGGTGATCCGCCTGCCTTGGCCTCCCAAAGTGCTGGGATTACAGGCGTGAGCTACCGCACTCGGCTTTGAACATTTCTTATAGCATTATTCATAGTATTTTTGGCATTATAATTATTTGAGTACTTACCTTAGCAAACTTGGTTAGCTCTTGGGCCTTTGAATAACCACTGGAGGGGAGTGAATAGCCTCCCATATGAAGCAGCATCTTGTTTTCACTACCCGACAAAGTTGACTTAGGCTTCCATATTTTTGTGGGTGGAGTTAGACCACAGTCTACTGAGTTTCTCAAACTTCAAGAAATCTGCCTTAGGATTTTAAAATTGGATGCATTAGAGCTTCTTTTCGTAAGTTTGACATGAAAAGGATATCCCTCTCCCACCACCAAAAAAAAAAAAAAAAGAAAGAAAAACACTTTTCTTCTTCGAAGCACAGCAATAATTCTCTTTTAAATAACATAAATTATTCACAAATCCTCCCCTTATCTCTCTTAACTTAAATTTTTAATATCTTTGTTTGGGATTAGAACTTTGTAATAGGCAAGGTATCAATCCCCCAAGATCTCTTCAGGGCCAATGTTGGAAATGTCTTCTGCTGGCAGCTCACAGTTGGGAACCCCAAAGAACACTGCATCCTTACCCAAATTTACAACAACTCTTATGTCATTTAGTCTATGGACAATGATTGGCTTTCTGGGGGTTCAAAAGTAAAAGCCCCTTTCTTCAATTTGAGACAACACTGAAAAGCTGGACATTCAAGCTCCAGTTATTTCTGAAGTGTACTCTAAGGCTCCATTTGCAAAGCAGTGGGAATAAAATTTTCCCTCTGCTCCACCCTGCCTTCCCTACTTCCTTATACGTATATCTTCTGAGAACATTCCCAGTAAACCTCCTGCATATAAACCCTCATCTCACAGTCTGTTTCCAAGAAATCAAATGTGTTATAAAAACAAAATCACATATACACTTTGGAAAGATGCCTCTGCTGACAATGTAGAGTAAAGAATGGAGGGATATGGGTGAGACTAGAGGCAGTGGGACAAATTAGAAGACTAACTTAGGTAAGATTTGATGAAGTCATTGAAATGGTCTTGTTGCACCATTTATTTGTTTATAAATTATAAACATGTATAACCATACCAGTATTTATGTGAATTACAAAACACAAAAAACCAAGAATTAAAAGACAGGAGATAAAAATAAACATGAGTTTTTTGTATTATTTTCTTCTAACACCACTTTGGATGATATTTGTTTCACTTATCTTGGAATTATCTTTTAGCAAGAAGGCTTTTTTGAAGAAGAAATAAAGTGCTTTTCTTCATTCTCCTTTTTGTACAAGAAGAATTTTATTACCATACCCTGCCATTATCATTTCACTTAACCTATAACATAATGGCTTCCATCAATTCTTACAATGAATGTTATTCTACAATTACGTTATGTGTTGGCACAGCATTAAAAGGGCATGCAATGGAATATATTTTACATTGCAAAAATATATAAATATACTACTGTGATGTTAAATGCTTGAGTCCTTTTCAAGTGATTATAGAGATCTGTAATTTGCAATAACACATAAAGACTTTGTCATTTATCACACTGGTTATTTTCTCTGTGTTAATTTATTTTGTGTTTGTATTCCTTTAACATGTAAACTTTCATCATAAACTGACAAACAGCCTTTGAATAGTATTTGAAAGTTTATAATAAATCCTGTGTTAGCTAAGTATCATCCTAGTTCCACAGTTAGAGTGAGGAGCAGTAATGACATTTTTGTCTCTTGTACCAGTAGCAAATCTTGTCGGAGATGAACCCCAAGTCCCCTGACACATAATAGAGTTCTTTGTTAAAAACCTTTGTTAACTATTCCAAATTTCAGGTGAAAAAAAATGCCCTTTACTCCTCTGTATGGAGCTATGGATAATTAATCTCTGATTAGTTTTCAAGTAACCATAAGGAAGCAATAGGAAATAATACTATGTGGGATGTCAGTCCCTTTGAATCAAGCAACATTACAAAGAGTCATTTCATCACTGATTTTCTTTTTTGCATTTTATTAGAAAAGTAACAGCCTGAAATGTTGAAAGTACTGAGTTGATATGAAGTGGGATTTGCCTGGACTAAAAATGCAGAATCATTTCCTTCTTTCATTTACTTTTACAGGAGAGATATAAGAAAAAGTGGTTTGACAGTAGATAGACATTTCATTTCATTTCATAGCAAAATTATTTTGTATAATATTTTAAAGGCAGTAAGCAATGTACCCTTATTGAAAATGCCATCCTACAGAAGAACTATCTGGTAAAGTGAATAATATCTGTGAAAACTGTCTCCAAACTGCTAAACTCTGTAATTCTTTTGATGGAAAAGTGGCAGATAGGTAGAGAAGGGCCTGTCTTAAATCCTTTCCTACAAGATGGCATAAGGAGGTGAAGGAATTCAGGAATAAAAACTCCTATTGTGTTGTGCCCTCCTTTATGAGAGCAGGTAGGAAGAGGCTTGTTCAAGTTATACCAGCCCATAACTTCCATCAGAGTGGTTTTCCCAGGAGATGACTTTTGTTACCTCATTACTTCAAAAACGATGTTTTACCTCCAATAGTCTATTAGATAAAAAACAAATTTATGACTTCAAGACGCTTCCTGTCACTCAACTTTCTTTTCATCCTTTTTTCACCCATCTTAAGTATAACATGAATATTGCTTAATGTCTATATTATCTTCTATTCCTCTTCCCAAGACCTCTAACCCTTCAAATGAGGTGACACACACACATGCACACACGAAGATTGCTTGATTCTTTTATTGCTGTTTATCCCGAATTCAACTTTAGCCTAGAAATAGCCTGCTAATCCAAAGAATATTTTGTTCTTTACCCCACTCAAAAAGTCCAGTTAGTTTCATTTGAACCCAAGTTTTATGTATATATGTAGTTTTGTATATATATGAAGTTTAAACGTACAAAATACAAGAAAACATAAGGTGCTGATAGCAATACCTGTATACCTAGCACTGAGATTTAACAAATGTTAGTATTTGATTCAGATTTATTTTTATTTCTATTTTTTAGTTTTGTATGTACATGGTAGGTTTATGTAGTTATGGGTTACATGAGATATTTTGTCACAAGAATGCAATGCATAATAATCACATCAGGGTAAATGGTGTATCCATCACCTCAAGCATTTATCCTTTGTATTACAATCTAATTATACTCATTTAGTAACTTTAAAATGTACAATTAAAATACATTTGATTATAAATTACATTTGACTATTGTGCTAGAAAACACTAGGTCTTATTTATTATTTCTAACTTTTTTTTGTACCATTAACCATTGCCACTTAAGCCCCATACCCCCACTACCATTCCCAGCCTCTGGTAGCCAGCCTTCTACTCTCCATCTCCATGAGTTCAATTGTTTTAACTTTTACCTCCCACAAATAATTAAGACCATGAAAGGTTAGTCTTTCTATGTCTGGTTTATTTCATGTAACATCATGACACCCACCTCAAACTATGTGGTAGCAAATGACAGAATATCATTCTTTTTGAAGGAGGAATAGCACTCCATTGTGTATATATACCACTTTTTCTTTATCCATGTATAGGTTGATGGACGTTAAGATTGCTTCCAAATCTTGGCTATTGTGAATAGCCAAGGTGTAATAAGCATGAGAGTGCAGATATCTCTTTGATATACTGATTTCCTTTCTTTTGAATATATACATAGGAGTGGGATTGATGGATCTTATGGAAGTTCTATTTTTAGTTTGTTGAGAAACCTCCAAACAGTTCTCCATAGTAATTTTACTAACTTATATTCCCACCAATAGTATACAAGGGTTCCCTTTTCCCAACAGCCTCATCCACGTGTGTTATTGCCTTACACTTGGATAAAAGCCATTCTAACTAAGATGAGATGGTATCTCATTGCAGTTTTGATTTGCATTTCTCTTATGATCAATGATATTGGTCAGCTTTTCATATATATGTTGGCCATTTGTATGTCTTCTTTTGAGAAATGTCTATTCAGATCTTCAGCCCATTTTTGATTGGATTATTAGATTTTTTTCCTATAGAGTTGTTTGAGCTCCTTATATATTCTGGTTATTAGTTGATAGATGATTAGTTTGCAAATATTTTCTTCCAATATGTGGGTTGCTTCTTCACTTTCTTGATCGTATTCTTCGCTATGCAGAAGCTTTTTAACTTGTGATTCCATTTGTCCATGTTTGCTTTGGTTGCCTGTGCTTGTGGGGTATTACTCAAGAAATCTTTGCCCAGACCAATGTCCTGGAGATTTTCCCCGGAGTTTTCTTGTACTAGTTTTATAATGTTATGTCTTAGATTTAAGGTTTTTTTTAATCAGTGTAGATTTTATTTTTGTATATGGTGAGAGACAGTGGTCCAGCTTCATTCTTTTCCATATAGGTGTCCAGTTTTCCCAACACCGTTTATTGAAGAGAACCTCCTTTCCTCCATGTATGTTCTTGGCCCCCTTGTGGAAAATGAGCTCACTGTAAGTGTATGGATTTATTTCTGGGTTGTCTATTCTGTTCTTTCGGTCTGTGTGTCTGTTTTTATTCCTGTGCTATGCTGTCTTGGTTACTATACCTCTGTAGTGTAATTTGAAGTTAAGTAATATAATTTCTCCAGTTTGGTTCTTTTTGCTTAGGATAGCTTTAGCTATTCTGGGTCTTTTGTGACTCCATATATATTTTAGCATCGTTTTCTCTATTTCTGTGAAGAAGATCATTGCTATTTTGACAGAGATTTCATTGAGTAGATACTTCGGGTAGTATGGATATTTTAACAATATTTATTCTTCTAATACATAAACGTAAAATATCTTTGCAGTCTTGTCTTTTCTTCAATTTATTTCATCAGTATATTATGGTTTTTATGGTAGAGATCTTTCACTTCTTTGGTTAAGTTTAATTCCTAGGTACATTATTTGTATCTATTGTAAATTTAATTAGCTTATTGATTTCTTTTTCAGATCGTTCCCTGTTGGCATATAAAAATGCTACTGATTTTTTGCATGTTGATTTTGTATACTGCAACTTTATTGAATTAGTTTATCAGTTCTCATAGTATTGTGCTGGAGTCTTTAGGTTTCTCCAAAGGTAAGGTCATATCATCTGACCATCAGGATAATTTGACTTCTTTATTTGTAATTTGGATGCCCTTTCTTTCATTCTCTTGTCTGATCACTCTAGCTAGGACTTCCAGTACTATGCTGAACTGCAGTGGTTAAAGTGGGCATTCTTGTCATGTTCCAACTCTTTGAGGAAAGGCTCTCATTTTTTTCCCCATTCAGTAGGATACTATCTGTGAGTCTGCTGTATATGGCTTTTATTATGTTGAGGTATTATTATGTTGAGGTATGTTCCTTCTACACCCAGGTTTTTAATGTCTTTTTTTTTTATCATGAGGACATGTTGAATTGTATCAAATGCTTTTTGAGAATCAGCTGAAATGATCGTATAATTTTTGTCCTTCATTTTGTTGATACAATATATCACATTGATTGTTTTGCATATGTTAAACATCCTTGCATCCCTGGAAGGATAAATACTTGCATCCTTGCATCCCTGGATAAGTCCCACTTGGTCTTGATGAATGATGTTTCGAATGTGTTATTGAATTCAATTTGCCAGTATTTTGTTTCAGATTTTTTCATCAATATTTATCAGCAATATTGGCTTGTAGTTTTCTCCTTTTGATGTGTCTTTGTCTATTTTTTTTTTTGTATCAGGGTAATATTGGCATTGTAGAATGAGTTTGGAAGTGTTTCCTCTGTTTCTATTTTCAGGATACCTTTGGCAGGACTGCTATTTGTTCTTCCTTAAATATTTGGTAGAATTCAGCAGTGAAGCCATTGGGTGTTGGGCTTTTCTTTGCTTCGTACTTTTTGTTACAACTTCAATCATGTTACTTATTGTTCTGTTCATGTTTTAGAGTTATTCACAGTTCAATCTTGATAGGTTGTATGTGTCTAGAAATTTATCCATTTATTTTAGATTTTCTGATTTATTGGCATATAGTTGCTCTAAGTTGTCACTAATGATCCTTTGATTTCCTGTGGTATCAAATTTAATGTCTCCTTAAACAGAACAGCTTTGTTCTGTTGCTGGTGAGGAGCTGCATTCCTTTGGAGGAGAAGAGGCACTCTGATTTTTAGAATTTTCAGCTTTTCTGCTCCGGTTTCTCCCCATCTTTGTGGTTTTATCTACCTTTGGTCTTTGATGATGGTGACGTACAGACGGGGTTTTGGCGTGGATGTCCTTTCTGTTTGTTAGTTTTCCTTCTAACAGTCAGGACCCTCAGCTGCAGGTCTGTTGGAGTTTGCTGTAGGTCCACTCCAGACCCTGTTTGCCTGGGTATCACCAGCAGAGGCTGCAGAACAGCAAGTATTGCAGAACAGCAAATGTTGCCGCCTGATCCTTCCTCTAGAAGCTTCGTCTCGGGGGGCACCCAGCTGTATGAGGTATCAGTCAGCCCCTACTGGGAGGTGCTTCCCAGATAGGCTACTTGGGGGCCAGGGACCCACTTGAGGAGGCAGTCTGTCCATTCTCAGATCTCCCACTCCGTGCTGGGAGAACCACTACTCTCTTCAAAGCTGTCAGACAGGGATGTTTCCAGATATTTTTTTTTAATAAAAGGAAAACTGTAGGTTGAGCTGATCCCTTTGTATTCCTGAACAGTCTAATTTCTCTTTTTTTCTAACATGAAACAATCACAAACAGAAATTTATTAAATCAATCAAGTACCTAATTTTGTTTACTTGATAGTAGTTGCCTCTATTTAAAATGTAAATTGTTTTAGCATTGGGGGTCTATTATTACATTGCTCTTCTTTACTTATACTAGCAATGTTTAACCACCTTCTCATAAACACTTGTGGGGTGCAGGTTCAAATCTGATAGATTATTGTGTTGGTTTCTTTTCCTCAGACCGCTAGTGATGTTCAACATATTTTGTGTTTTTTTTTTCTTAGATATTCCAATTTCCTCTTCTGCAAGATGGCCATTTTCTATTGTGTCTCATGAATTTGATTTTCCTTATATTGCAATTGCTAAATAAATTTTTAAAGCGAATGTCACAAATAACTTCTCCAAGTTCGGCTTGTCTTATAACTTTCTGTTTTTTAATTATTTTAACATTTTGATATAGTCAACTCCATCAATATTTTATTTTCTAATATGTGCTTTGTTGTGTCACGTTTAAGAGCTTCTTTCCTACCATGAGGTTACAAAGATATCCCTTATGTTTTCTTCTAATAATTATAAATTATATTTTAAACATACATACAGCTAAGAATCTTTCATTCATTTTAGATATACTGAGAAAAAGAACTTTCGCTTTTATCACAAGGGAAGCCAATTTTTTCATGTAGTTATAATGCCAACCACATCATGTATTAATATGCATAGACTTTTTTCTGGGGTGTCAATTCTGAATCTTTAAATTTTATTGATTCATAATATACATACATACTTTTAGAATACATGTTATAATTTAATACATTCATATAATTTTTAAAGATTAAATTCATATACTTTGGATATGCAGCACCTTAAATATGTGTCTTTATGCTAGAAACATTTGAATTATTCTCTTCTAGCTATTTTGAAATAAACAATAGATTGTTTTAAACTATAGTCACCCTACTTATCTAACACTAGGTCTAACTTCATTTATTAAACCATATATTTCTACTCATTAATTAATTTCTCTTTATTCCATCCTTCCCATTAAAATTCCTGTCCTCTGGTAACCACAAATCTATTCTGTGTCTCCAGGAGATCCAGTTTTTGGGAACCAAATATGACTGAGCACATGTGATATTTGTCTTTCTGTGTTTGCATGACCTCCAGTTCCACTTACATTACTGCAGATGACAGGATTTCATTCTTTTTATGCCTGAATAATATTCCATTGTGTATATATGCCACATTTTCTTTATCCAGTCATCTGTTGATGAACACTTAGTTTGATTTCATATTTTGGCTATTGTGAACAATGTGCAATAAATGTGGAAGTTCACATATTTTTTTTTATATATTGATTTTCTTTTGGATATAGACCAAGTGGTGAAATTGCTGGATCATATGGTATTTACATTTTTAGCTTTTTGAGGAGCCTTCATACTGTTCTCCATAGTGACTGACTTAATTTACATTCTTATTTTCAGTGTTTGAGGTTTCCTGTTTCTCCACATTTGCCAGCATTTATTACTGTCTGTCTATTTCATAAAAGCCATTTTATCTTGGGCTAGACGGTATCTTGTAGTTTTTACTTTTATTTTTCTTATGATTAGTTATGTTGAGCATGTTCTTCTTATATCTGTTGGCCATTTGTATGTCTTCTTTTGAGAAATGTCTATTCAGATATTTTGCCCATGTTAATTGAATTATTCTCTCTCTTTATTTTTATTTTGCTGGTGAGTTGTTTGAGCTCCTTATATTTTCTGGTTACTAATCCCTTGTCAGATGGGTACTTTGGAAATATTTTCTCTCATTCTGTGGATTGTCTGTTCACTTTTTTGATTCTTTCCTGTGCTTTGCAGAAGGTTTTTAGCTTGATGTGATCCCATTGGTTTGCTTTTGCTTTTGTTTCCTATGCTTTTGATGTCTTACACACAAAAAACTCTTTGCCCAGACCAATGCCCTAGTGTGTATTTTCAATATTTTCTTCTAGTACTTTTGTGATTTCAGGCCTTACATTTAAGTATATAATATGTTTTGATTTGATTTTTTTGTATGATGTGAGATAGAGGTCTGGTTTCTATCTTCTGCATACAAGTTTACTAAACTGGATCGTTTTCCCAGCACCACTTATTAAAAGACTATCCTTTCCCCATTGAATATTTTTAGCATCTTTGTTGAAGATGAGTTGGGTGTAAGTGTGTGTATTTATATCTGGGTTCTCTAATGTCTTCCATTGGTCTATGTGTCTCTTTTCAGGCCGGTATCTTGCTGATTTGTTTCTATAGCTTTGTGGTAAATTTTGAAGTCAGGTAGTGTGATGGCTCCAGCTTCGTTCTTTTTGCTCAGCATTGTTTTGGCTATTCTGGGTCTTCTGTGGTTCCATATACATTTTAGGATTTATTTTCTATTTTAGTGCAGAATGTCATTGGTGTTTTGATAGGGACTGCATTGATTCTGTAGATTGGTTTGGTCAGTATGCTTATCTTAACAATATTGAATCTTCCAATCCATGTGCATGGGAAATCTTTCCATTTGGGGGTCTTCTTCATTTTGCTCATCAGTGTTTTACAGTTTTTCTTATATAAATCTTTGGCTAGGCTGGGCGTGGTGGCTCATGCCTGTAATCCCTACAGTTTGGGAGGCAGAGGTGGGCAGAGCATCAGGTCAGGAGTTCGAGACCAGCCTGGCCAACATAGTGAAACCCTGTCTCTGCTAAAAATACAAAAAAAAAAAAAAATTGGCTGGGTGTGGTGGTGAGCGCCTGTAGTCCCAGCCACTTGGGAGGCTGAAGCAGGAGAATTGCTTGAACCTGGGAAGCGGAGTTTGTAGTGAGCCAAGATCGCGCCACTGCACTCCAGCCTGAGTGACAGAGTGAGACTCTGTCTCAAAAATAAATAAATAAATAAATAATTTAGCCAAATATTTTTTATTTAACACCTATGTCTTTTACATTCTTTGTAGCTATTGTAAATGGAATTTCTTTCATTATTGTTTTCGGATTGTTTGTTGTTAGTATATAGGAATGCTACTGATTTTTGTATGTCAATTTTGTTTTCTGCAAGTTTACTAAATTTATCAGTTCTAATAGTGTTTTGGTTGAGTCTTTAGGTTTTTCTAAGTATAAGATCATGCCATCTGCTAACAAGGCTAATTTGACTTCTTTTTCAATTTGAATGTCCTTTATTTTTTTTTCTCTTACTTAATTGCTCTGACTAGGAAATCTAGTACTATTCAATACAAGTGGGAAAAATGGGCATCCTATGTCTTTTTCATTATCTTAAAGGAAAGGTCTTCAAATTTCCCTGATTCAGAATTCTGTTAGCTGTGGGTTTTTCATGTATGGCCTTTATTATTTTAAAGTATGTTCCTTCTATAAGCAGTTTAATGAGGAGTTCTACCATAAATTGAGGTTAAATTTTACCAAATGCCTTTTCAGCATATATTGAATTAAGCATATGTGTGTTTTCTGGGTTTTGTTAATGTGATGTATCATGTTCATTGATTTGCACACATTAAACCACTCTTGCATCCCTGGGATTAATCCCAGTTTATCATTGTGAATTCAGTTTGTTAGTATTTTGCTTAGGATTTTTGCATCTGTCTTTGTTGTCATTTTCTTTTAGTTTGGATGTCAAGGTACTGCTGGCCTCACAGAATGAGGTTGGAAGTATTCCCTTCTCTTTAATTTTTTGGAAAGTTTGAGTAGAATTGGTATTAGTACTTCTTTAGTTATTTGGTAGAATTCAGCAGTGAAGGTCCTGAGCTTATCTTTAATGGGAGACTTTTTATTATGTCTTTTCTCTCACTATATATTATTGACATATTGAGGTTTTTTATTTCTGTATGGTTCAATCTTGGTAGGTTGTATTTTCTGTCTGGCTTGCTTTGGTGTTTAGTGAATATATTTGCGTAGAGGTTCTTTGCTGCTAGCTTGCTGCTGGCTTTCCAGCTCTAGGTGGTACCCTAAGTCCAGGCTCTTTTCAGCTCTAGTCAAAGATCAATATTTTATTGAGGATTTTTGCATCGATGTTCATCAGGGATGTTGGTCTAAAATTCTCTGTTTTTATAGTGTCTCTGCAAACTGTCACAAGGACAAAAAACCAAACACCGCATGTTCTCACTCATAGGTAGGAATTGAACAGTGAGAACACTTGGACACAGGAAGGGGAACATCACACACTGGGGCCTGTCGTGGGGAGGGGGGAGGGGGGAGGGATAGCATTAGGAGATATACCTAATGTAAATGACGAGTTAATGGGTGCAGCACACCAACATGGTACATGTATACATATGTAACAAACCTGCACGTTGTGCACATGTACCCTAGAACTTAAAGTATAATAAAACAAACAAACAAACAAAAAGATCGGAGTGCTGCTAAGCCTGAATGGGGGAAGTTTCAAAGGGAATATCCTGATGGTGTGGGAAGAGTGGTTGGAGTTAATGCCCAGGAAACCTGTGGAATAAAAGTCCTATAGCATGGTGCTGCTGAATTGCTAGTTTGATTTGGTATCTCCTATGGCTGAATTACAGATCAGAATTTTCCAGGTTTGGGGATGGTATACCCACCCCACCCTGCCCGCTCCCCTCCGCCCCGACTTTGTCTTTGACTGCTCTCAGGGATACTGCCCTCTTCAGGCACTCACAATGCTTCACATGGGTTTGGCAGGGACAGGTCTTCTGCCAGAGAAATCAAGATGGTGGGGAAACTGATTGTCCATCTCAATTTTACATCTTTCAAAGTAGAAACTGTGAGTTGGCGGACTTTTTTTTTTTTTTTTTTTTTAGCATACTTGGTGCCCAGCAGAATGGGGAGAGGGGCATTGTAAATATGGAAATCTAATACTCTTACCATCTGCTCAGAGCTTTTTTACTTCTCTGGCTCACATTTGAGTTCTGGGCTACTAATGGTAATAAGATAACTATTATATGTTTGTTTTTGTGTTTCTGTGGAGAGGAGTGACACCAACTTGCTTCTATGCCACCATTTTTGAGCTGGAAGTCTTTGTTTTATTGATCAGCATCAATGCTAAGATAACTTTGTCCTATGTATTGATGTCTAGTAGAACAACTCTTTCTTCTATTATTGTTTTTTTAAGTAGAATTATTTTTGTTATTTTCTTGCCTTTTAGTACTCAGTATGAATTTTAGAATCTATCTAGTGCCCAGAAATTCCTTACAGGGTTTTGATTGAAATGGTGTTAAATTTACAGTTAAATTTGAGGGATAATTTTCATTTTATAATATTGAGCTTTTATATACATGCATATAGTTTACTGTCCATTTGTTTAAACTTTTATGTTCTTTGAAAATGTTGTATACTTTTCTCTTTAAAAGTATTTCTCATATGTTTTATATTTATTCTATGAAAGTTACACTGTAAATGATTATAGCATTTTATCATTTCTTTTCCGTTAGAATTTTTATTGATTATTGCTGATATGTAGAAACACTGTTAGTTATCTTATGTTGATGCGCTTAGAAACCTTGCTGGACATTCTTACCAGTTTCATTTATCTGTAGATCCTCTTGGTTTCATTATGAAGAAATTCATCATCAGCAATGACAATTTTGTTTCTTTGTTTTTTTCATTGTAATATATCTTAATTCTTTTTCTTAAAATATTTCATTTTGAATTCCCAGTACAATGTGAACTAGTAGGGGTCATGGAAGAAATTTTTTTTGTTTCTCAATAAAATGGACATCCTTCTAATATTTTACAATTAAATACATATTTTCATAGGTTTTTTAAAAAGATATCTTTTTTCATAATGAGAAAAATATTAATCTATTCTTTGTTAGTAATTTTAGTTATGTATAAGTTTAAACATTTATTGAATCATTTTTCTCCATCTTTCAATATTGTTTTTCTTTACCAATATGATAAGTTGCATAGTTAGTGCTATAATTTGAATGTTTGTTCATATGTTGAAATCATAACCCCAAAAATGGTAGTGTTAAGTGGAGGGTTTTTGGGAGGTGGTTAGGTCATTAAGATTCAGTCCTCTTGAATGGGATTAGTGCCATTATGAAGGAGACCCAGTGGAGAACTTTAGCCCTTCTGCCGTGTGAGGACACAGTGAAAAGATGGCCATTTATGAACCATAAAATGAGCCGTCACTAGAAACAAAACTCTGCTGGCACCTTGATCTTGGACTTTCTAGCCTCTAGCACTGTGATAAATTAGTTTATTGTAAGCCACCCAGTCTATCACAGTGTGTTATCATGGCACAAATGGACTAAGACAATTAGATTTTCTTTAAAAATTAGAGACAGGATATTGCTGTGTTGCCCAGGCTGGACTTGAAGTCCTGGACTCAAACAGTCCTTTTGCTTCAGTCTTCCAAGTAGCAAAAACTATAGGCATATACCACCTTGCCTAGCTAATATTTTCTGACGTTAATACATCCTTATGTTTCTAAGAGAAACCGTCCTTGACCATTATGTTTATGTACACACATCCACAGATTAAATTGCATAATAATTTAAGATCTTTTCTTCTATACTATGTGCTTACTTTGGTAATATTATTTTATTGTTCGTTACCAACATTGTATTAGTTTCATAAAATGAATTGAATACTTTTCTCTCTTTTATATTCTTTGATATAATTTGTATTATGTGGCCAGGCACAGTGACACGCGCCTGTAATCCCAGCACTTTGGGAGGCTGAGGTGGGCGAATCACTTGAGGTCAGGAGTTTGAGACCAGCCCGGCCAACATGGTGAAACCCCATCTCCACTAAAGACACAAAAATTAGCCGGGCATGGTGGTGGGCGCCTATAATCCCAGCTGCTTGGGAGGCTGAGGCAGGAGAATCACTTGAACCCGGGAGGTGGAGGTTGCAGTGAGCCAAGATCGTGCCACTGCACTCCAGCCTGAGCGACAGAGTGAAACTCCATCTTCAATAAATAAATGAAATAAAATAATAATAACTTGTATTCTGTAGGAACTATCAGTCACTTGAATATTTGATTAAATTTGCCTATAATACTTCCTGGCCCTGGTGTCTTTTTCATTAGGGCAGAGGTAGAATCAACTATCAGTTCAATTTTATTAATGATTGTGGATATATTTAGTTATTTATTTAGTTTTAAAAATACATTTTAGTAATAATTTTCAAAAAATTTGGCAAAATATTACTTATACTATTTTTTCTTATAATTTTTTTAAAATTCCTTTCTGTAATATGGCAATTTTTATAATACACAGGTTTTGTCTTTTCATTTCCTATAGAAGCACATTATTCTTTAGGTACCATGAGAATTAGATCTATAGACATTTTTTTAGTTAGTTACTCTGATCCAGAAAGTCAAATGGTTACAACTCAGAGTAGGTACCTGGTTAAGTCTCAAGGTGCCAGGAAGACTGGAGCACTATCTCTGTAGGTATTTACATATCAGAATATAAGAATCTCATACCAGAAAACATCTCTAGGTCTGGAGACACCAGAGTTTATCTGGCTCTTGAAAAAAAAAAAAAAGGTATTTATATTTAAAATGTTAGGGTGAGAACCCATAGATACTTTTTATTCCACCTCAAAGGAACAAATTAAAAAAAAATATTTCTGCAGAGGAGGGACAGGGTTGTCACTGTGCTGTACATAAATAAAGATAAAAATTGTTCTCTGTTCCCTGCTTATGTAATTTCTCTTTCCTTTGCTTACGCAGTGTCTGGCTACTCATATAGGCAGGTTTTTCATCTGCCTTTTATCACGTTATCCTAAGGGTAAGGTGTGGGGTAAGAGAGAGTAATATACTTATTCTTCCTCTGAGGCAATTAATAAGAAATGTGTCTCTGATCTGGAAACACCTTGTACACGTATAATTGTATTTCCATAGCATGTAATATTACATAAAGATGAAATTTAAAACCTCATCAGGGTACCTGCGGGAATTGAGGACTTTGTGTGTTCACACAAGAGACCTGAAGGGCACATTTTTGTGCCTACTATATTCTTTTGCCCTAATAATGATTCTCTTCCAAAATAGTATTTATGTCATATTAATTTTGCTGCATCTGGTTTATTTTAGTTAATATTTCTTTTGAAATTTCTTCTCCCATACTCATAATTTTTAAAAAGTTATATTCTCTTTTAGGTCAGTGCAGAAGCTAGATTTTGTTTGTATACTTTTAATCCAATCTGATTTTTTAAACAATATATGTGTTTAGTTTATTTATATTTATTATGAGTGGTTGTTTAACTAGACATATTTTATTCCAAAAATATTTCTTCAGAGTCTGTTCTGTGCCAGGTACATTATAGGTACTAGAGATAAAGCAGCAAAGAAAATGGACAAACATCCCTGCCTTCATGGAATACACGTTTTATTGTCGTGTTTAACATTTTTAATTGGTATTATTTTTCTTTCTTGCCCTTTCCTCCACCCAGCTTCTGTGAAATGTGGTTTTTAAATTACTGATTTTTTTTTTTTTCCACTGGTTTGGAAGCTGTAGCTTCTATTCCTTATTGATTATCTTTAATTTTTAAAAGATGACCACTAAACCAAATATATTCTATTTAAGCCTAAATAACTCTATCTTTTCAAACACAAAAACTATTTTTGTATTATTTTATTGCCAATACTCAATTAAATTTGGCAGCATTTTCATACAAATGTATGTGCTTGCCATTAATTCTTGCTTCCAAACCCTTCTGTATTTAATTTCCTTCTTTATTTATTTTCTTTCAGTGAGATTCTGTAGGTAGTAAAATTTTCTATTATGTCTGAACACAATTTTTTTTATTCTTACTCTTCAATGAGAAGTTAGCTTGGTATGAATTGTAGATTGTCAGACATTTTACCCAGCAATGATATTATGGATATTCTTCTAGAATCTACTTTTGCTGATGTAGTAAATCAGCCAAATGATCATTTAATTTTAATTTCTCTGTCTCTTTTCTCTGATGATTTTTGAGATTCATCTTGCTTTTTTATGTTTTCGGTTTCGGTACAGTATACATACGTGTAGATTTACTTTATGTCAATTGGATGTTACTTGATATGTACTTTTAATATCTACCTGGAAAATTACTTCCCTGTTATTTTCTGTATTCTCCTCCTCTGGAATTACAATTAGATGTATAGTAGAATATCTCGATTATCCCTCAGAGCTCTTAAACTGTCTTTTTAAAATTTTTCATGTTTTACCTCTCTATCTTTTTTGGGAAATACCATCAGGGTGAAATTGTCCAGTTTAAATAATAACTTCAAATAACTTCAAGTTCTCCAACGTCCATCTTGTCAAACTGTCTGTTTTAGAATTTATTCCACCTATTTTTTTAATTTAAATAATTGTATTTTCACTTGACTTTTTAAATTTTGTGGGTGTGTATAATAGGTGTATATTTTATGGGGTACATGAGATGCTTTGATACAGGCATACAATGCATAATAATCACATAGGAGTAAATGGAGTAGCCATTACTTCAATCATTTATAATTTGTTTTAAAAACAATCCAGTTATACTCTTATAGATATTTTAAGATGTACAATTAAATTATTATTGACAATAATTACCCTGTTTTGCTATCAACTACTAGAGTGTATTCATTCTTTCTACGTATTATTTTGTACCCATTAACTATCCTCACTTCCTCCCATCCCCTCACTACCCTTCCCAGCCTTTGGTAACCTTCCTTCTACTCTCTATCTTCATAAGTTCAATTGTTTTAATTTTTACCTCCCACAAATAAGTGTGAACATGTGAAGTTTGTCTTGCTGTGCCTGGTTTATTTCACTTAACATAATGACTCACAGTTCCATCCATGTTGTTTCAAATAACTGGATCTCATTCTTTTTATGGCTGAATAGTATTCCATTGTGTATATGTACCACATTTTCTTTACCCATTCTTCTGTTGATGGATTAAAAAATTGGAAGCACTTAAGTTGCTTCTAAATCTTGCCTATTGTGAATAGTGCTACAATAAACATAGAAGTGCAGATATCCCTTCAATATACTGATTTCCTTTATTTCGAGTATATACCTAGCAGTGTGATTGCTGGATTATAAGGTAGCTCTATTTTTAGTTTTTGTGAAAACTTCTATATTGTTCTCCATGGGGGTTGTACTAATTAACATTCCCACTAACAGTGTGTGAGGGTATCTTGTTCTCCACATCCTCACCAGTATTTATTATAGCCTATCTTTTGGATAAAAGCTATTTTTACTAGGGTGAGATGATACCTTATTGTTCATTTTATTTTTCAATTGGTTACTTTTTCATTCATTCAGTAGTCCACATATATTGACTGAACACCTATCATAGTCCAGGCCATGTTCTATGTGCTCATTATGGATTAGAAAATAACATCCTTAATTCTTTGTTCTTCACTTCTAGTGTGAAGAGTCTGACAGTATAAACACACAATAATTTTACCTGATTATAAGTTCAGTACAGTGAATTGACAGAATATGTTGTCATACAAATGACTTGGTTATCAGTTAAGACTGGTGAGCAAAGAATTTCACTTTGAAGAAGAAACCTTGAAGCTGAGACCTTGAGTGAGATGATCCAACTGTTTCTTAATTCATATCTCCTAGTTTTTACCACATATATTATAGAAATGTCTTATTTTTTATATTTGGAGGATGTAAGCCAACTTCTGGAGTTCTTTACGATATGGTTTCCATTTCTAGTGTATGATTTCTTCTATTTCTTTTAGCTTGTTGGTTCTTCTGGTTTTTTATCATTTAAATAATAACATTAAATTTGATCATTAAATTCATAATATTAATTTTCTTTGTATTCTTTGGAATTTTAATTTGCAAGCTTAATCTGAGTATTGATTGCTCATTTGCTTGCTTTTGTTTTTGTCTGTGTATTTGTTTTTCTTTCTCTTCACGCATGACTACTTATATCTAGCAATTTTGTAGTTCTTCTACTCACCTTTTAAATTCCCCATTAACAACCATGTTCTGAGATCTCCTCCTGTGAAGCTATCTAAAGCTAATGTGTAACTTTACCCTATTCCCAGTTGCAGGGCTACCTCAACCTTTTTTGTGCCATTACTTAAGGAAGTGGTCATAGATTTTTTTCAACCTGGGATCATAGGTTAGGGTTGTACCTGAGCCTCCACTTCCAAGGTGTAATTCTTGCCTTGAGGATTCCCTATCCACCCACCACTGCATGTGTTCTATTCAAAGGCTCAGCCACAGGTCTAACTTCTTTTGAGTCTGGAAACTCAAAAACCCTTTTATTAGCTTCATGTAACTAAGAGATGGACAGATGGCATTGGCTTCAAGACAACTAAATAAGGACTGAAATTCAGCATGTAACTCCTGACCTACTGTCCAGTCAAATTGTCCTTGTTCTTAAAGTCATTCCTTCCCCACTCCTTGCCCTAGATTCTGGGCACAAAATGTTGAATATCATCTCTGGCTCGTCACCAACATTAGGATATAGAGCAGGAAGTAGCTGACTTATGAGTAATTGTTCATCCACCCACCCAACATCCATAATGTGGTAACTGTTCATGCCTCTTTTGCCTCCACTACTTGATCTCAGTTGTCTATACCAAGAGAGGATATAGGGGCTGGCTAAAGCTATACTACTGTAAACTTCATGTGTCTCTTCCAGATATCCTTAAATTCCCCAAATAAGCTTTGCATTCTGTGTGACTGTGAGTTTTCTAAATAAGTACAGTCTACCATGAAATGTCTGTGGCTCTCTATAAGTAGGAAAAAAAGGATGTTTTCATTGTTCTAAAGTTTTAGTGACTGAGAAGTGCCATTAATCACAGTTTCTGTGCCACTGCCCTAAGATATTATCTTGAGGGCAGATTCAGGGGTGTATCCATTTGGTAAGGAATTAAGTTCTCTTTTACTTGGCAGTTTGTACTTAGAGACAGTGCATAGGCATGTTACAACCTGGCTTCCCACACATTTGCGAAGTGGTTGTCAGAACTTCTTCTCCAGCCAAAACCCATGCCAAATGGTATCTGAGTCTAAATTTCCCGGGCGAGTCTCCTCTGTTACAGAATCTCTGTCATCTGTGTGAATGCAGATGACTTTTTCTCGAACTCTCTGAAGTGTTTTTAAGAGGTTTATCCAGTATGCATTCTGATTTTCAGCAAGAAGGAAAGCCTCTTCTAAAGCTTGCAAGGATTCAGCCAAAGTCACTTGTATGCTTTCAGATTCCAAACACCTTTGGCCATTACATCAAATTCTGCAGTTTCTTGGCCTCAGATGACTACAGCATCTTTTGTGTCTATTCTGAACAAGATTCAAAAGTCTTTTCTCCCTAATAGAATTTCCAGTGCTAGAAATATCCTTGAGTTTTGGTAGGTTATCATTCCTATAGCAAGCAAAATATTCTGTCCAAGTAAAATAGTCTATGTCTTAAGCAGGATATCTAGGCAAGGGTGAATTAGGGCTCTTTAATATCCCAGGAAATGCTAACATCTGTTGTTATATGCCACTTTCTCTCAGAAAAGAATTTCCTGTTTTGTTTCATTTCTGGTTTTAATTTAAATAAATTAAAAATCTAATATAAGGCCACAAACATGAAAATTTATGAACTTTCTCTTTCTACATATTCTCCTGTGAATCACAGCGAAGTTAATCTCATCATCAAAATATAGTACAAGTGCATTCATTCTCTTCTACTGAGAATCCCTTCTATAGATCATCATGCCAAGGGGGTAAAACATATACTGCAGCACTCTGTCCAACTTCATAATGCAATGTCCTCATCTCATAGCTTTGGTATGTTTATATATCTTAAAATAACAGAAAAGTCGCAAATATACTACAAATAACTTTTATTTTTTACTGGAAACATTTGAGAGTAAATTGATTATCTTTTTTGCAATCCCTTCTGAATAATTTGGTGTATATTGCCTTTAGTCAAGGATATTCTCCTACATAATCGCAATATAGCCACAGAATTAGAAAATTAACCCTGATATATTATGACCATATAATCACACATAGGAGTGTACAGATTTAGAAACAGCCAGATCAAATCTTGAATGCTTTGTTGCTTAGAAATATCTTCTTCCAGATACCCTAAATCATCTTTCTCAAGTTCAAAGTTCCACAGATCTCTAGGGCAGGGGCAAAATGTCACAGGTCTATTTGTAAAACCATAGCAAGAGTGACCCTTCCTCCAGTTCCCAATAAGATCCTCATCTCCATCTGAGACCACCTCAGCCTGGACTTTATTGTCCATATCAGTGCCATCATTTTGGTCAAATCCATTTAACAAGTCTCTAAGAAGTTTCAAGCTTTCCCACATTTTCCAGCTTCTTCTGAGCTCTCCAAATTTTTCCAACCTCTGCCTGTTACCCAGTTTCAAACTGGCTTCCACATTTTCAGGTATGTTTATGGCAGTGCCCCATGCTCAGTACCAATTTTCTGTATTAGTTTGTTTTCACATTGCTAGAAGGAGCTACCTGAAATGGGGTAATTTATAAACCGAAGAGGTTTAATTGACTCATAGTTCCACATGGCTGGGGAGACCTCAGGAAACTTACGATTATAGCAGAAAGTGAAGGGGAAGCAAGGCACGTCTTACATGGCAGCAGGAGAGAGTGAGAGTGGGGATGTATCACACACTTTAAACTATCAGATCTCATGAGTACTCATTATAACAAGAATAGTAAAGGGGAAGTCCACCCCCGTGATTCAGTCATCTCCCTCTAGGCCCCTCCCCTGACATGTGGAGATTACAATTCGGGATGAGATTTTGGTGGAGACACAGAGTGAAAGCATATTAGGGTTTCTTTTCTTTTTTCTTTTCCATGTTTGTTAAAGCCTTCTTTTGTCCCCACTAGCTTTAATATATTTACATGTGTGATCAATACCTACACACAGACCCAGTCTCCCTTTACTGCCACCTTAATTTCCATATCAGCCTAGATTTCTTTCTCACCTATTTTGGGCTCCAAAATCCTGTCACCTTTTTGTATAAGTGTACTTTTTACCTCATTTTTGCTCCCACACATTAAGCCAGACTGTTGCTGATGCCACCACCCTGTATGGAAACCTTGCTCACCCTGCTCAGTTATCTATACCTCACACTGTTACGCCTTTCATGTGGAAGCCGTCTTCATTCTGCTTGTCTCTCATACCACATGTCAGATTGCCCCTCCACACACCCTATGCATGGATTCTTTCCTTACCCCACTCAGGCCCTGACCTTTTAATTCAGAACACTCCCCTTTCTCAGGTATACCCTTTTCATCCTACTTGCTCACTGACGCTCATGTCTAGGCCAGTCTACTTCATCTGCTTATTGATAAAATATAATACTCTTGTGTATGTGTGTGGTTGAACTCATACACTTGTGATTGGTGCTGCTAATGACCATTTCACAGCCAACCTAAGAGTACATGGATGTGTAGGAGTCTTTGGATGTACCATATGTGTTTAAGAGGTTAGCTATGCTATGGTTCCTTTCTTGACCCTGGATAAAGCTCTAAACTAGATAAGAAAAAAATGACATCTGGATTAATGTCCTACTAATGCATACCAACATGCAGCACTAACAATATGAAAATAGTTGAAATGAGCTTCCATAAACCTTAGTGTTGAATTTGAAGCTTAACTTGTTCCAGATTGAAATCTGACATCTAGAAAAGGCTTACCAGAATATTCCAAAAATAAAAGGATTTAAAGCACAATTAAAATAAAGAGGTAAGCTTAAATATTGAAAGAACTAATTTCATCTTATTTTCCTCACATTATTACATAATCTTCTAAAATTATTCCTATTTTATTTCAGTGAAATGCTTTTACAGAATAATTGAAATCATTCTTAAAGTCCCTAAGATGGATATAGGTAGCCCAACAAGAATTAGGCAGAGGTAGAATATTGGAAATACAATGTGGTTTAGGAAAGACAAAATACATATTTGGTGTATTCTTCAGAGATGAAGGCAGTTTAAACCATTTGCAGATTCAGTTGTTTGTGTTTGTAATACCTGTATTGTTTAAAACAGTGGTTGGTAAACATTTTCTGTAGAGTTAGATAGTAATATTTGCTTCATGGGAAATATATAGTCGCTGTTGTATATCCTTGGGTGGTGGGGTGTTTTAACCACCCTTTAAAACTTAAAAAAAATAATTCTTAGATCATGGACTGTATGAAAATATGCTGAGGGTGAATTGACCAGCTGGCTATAGTTTGCTTTCCCCTGGTTTAAAAAAAAAGTGTCCAGTGGTTCTCAAAGTGTGATTCCTAGAGTAGTAGCCTTAGTGTCCCTTGCGAACATGACAGAAATGCAAATTATTACCCCAGACTTACTGTATCAGATTCTGGCAATCCATCGTTTAACAAACTTCAGTTGATAATGATGCCTCCTCAATTTGCCAGACACTGATTTAGATTCAAACAAGAGCCTTTTAACCAGATGTTATGTTAGACGCTGTCAATCTAAAGATGAACAAAGTCCGCCTTCATCTGCAAATACCTTATAATTTGTTAACAAGTAATTTATTGCCTAAGGAGTGCTGCAGATTTAAGATTCACACTGAGACTTTTCCCACAATTCTAGTGCTCAGTCTGTGTTACCATGGTGCCTCTTTGAGGGGAAGGATTTCCTTAAGGATAACTATTTATCTGATTATAATACTTTTCCTAATTTGTTTGTATGAATCTCTTTCCTTTTTCCTATGTCTTCCCTCTCTTTCATTTTTCAGGGTTTGGGCCATTTGACACTTGTTTACCTTCAGAGTCCCCCAGTCCCCACAACCCCTTATCACAACCTAGACATTACTTTTGATTGATAATAACTCTTTCCACCAATTGCCAATCAGAAAGACTTTAAAACTACGTGTGACCTGGAAGTACCCCTCTGAGTTGCTCTGACCTCCCAGATAAAACCAATGTAAATCTTACAAGTATTAGTTGATGTATTACATCTTCCTAAAATGTGTAAATGCAAGCTGTACCCCAACCACCTTGGGCACATTTCGTTACGGCCTCTTGCTGGTGTATCACAGGCATGTCCTTAACGTAGGCAAAATAGACTTTCTATAATGATTGAGATCTGTCTCAGATATTTTGAGGTTCACAAATTGGTAACCATGAAGGGATTCTTAGTGTAGGTGCCCCTGAGCTTTGACAAGTCTCCTATAGGTGCTTAGTACCAGCTTGAGATAATCTTATGGCTCAAAGCAATAGGGTAATTTGCTGAAGCCTAAGAGCTCACCCTTTAATAGAATGTCTGATCTTCCAAAATTCGGTTGGGTTCTAACATTTATTTTGCTCTACAACAACTTTTCTGGAGTTTTACTTGCTTCAAACAAGTAAGGCAAGTTTTCCTGCTTCCATTGACAATGGAGTACAGGCAGTGCCTTTCTGGAGTTTGAGCTTGCTTCCAAGAAGGAAAGTGAGTTTGAGTTTTTGCCTAGTTCTAGGATGGTAGACAGCAGTCTTCAGCCTGAAACCCATACCTAGGTAAGTAACTGAATTGGGGTTCGTCTGGGCTAAAGTTAAGATTAACAACCAGCTGGTCTTTATTCCTTCTTACCACTAGAACCCTCTGTAATCATACTGTTGGGATTTTTTGTTATTCTGGTATTTCTCCCATTATATCTTACTAAGTCTCATTTGGTCAAATCTAAATGAGAATTCCAAATTATGGAAAACAAGACTCTGAATTGGCTAAAATTCCTCACAGCTACAAAAGAAAAGAAAAACACATAAAACTATGTGCTTGGTTTCTGTGTTTGCTTCCTGTCTTAAACAAATATTCTTTCATTTACTTTTCTTCCACTCTATTCCTCCCTCCTCCTTCTCCATCTTCAGTGTCAAGATAAAAAAATCTAAGGAGGCTGGTAATGACTCAAAACCCTTGAAGGACTCATAACAAAGGTGCTACTCAACCCTTTTTGGGGTGTTCTGTTTTCTTTGTGAGGTTTAAAGAGTCATGGGCAGATTCTTAAGTCTAAAGCTCTGATTTCCTGTATTGCACTACCTTATATGTTTGGCTTTGGGGAATCCCAGAGATTAACTTGTACTGTTAGAGGATTTGACCTTGGCATGTGTAATGGTGGACTCCTAAGAGCTACAAAGTTAGTGGTGGCTGAGAACAGTTTACAGGAAAGGATCTTAGCTGTTTTTCTTTCTTTCTTTCTTTTTTCCTAGGAAGTTGTTGTTTGGGATCCTAATTGTAGTTTGGAGGTACATTCTAATTAGTCTTCTCCATTTACTTTCCTCAAAAAAATAATTTCAATTGGTTTGTCTGTGCATTGGGAACTGAACTGTTGTTTTGTAGATAAATGAGAGAGACTGACTTTTCTCTGCTCTGAAGAGAAATGGTATTTTTCTCATCCCAGCCAAAAGATGCCCCTGGGTTACTGGGGGCAGGGTGGGGGGGACGCTGAGTAGAAGCGTCTGAGGGGTTGACACCCCACAATGTGCAAAAACCCTACAGGGAACCTCCAAAAAATTAGCTTAAAAAGGCTCATCCAGGAAATGCGTATAAGAGCTGGTTAGTCTACATTTGAGACCTCTCAGAAGTGCTAAACCTTCAAAGAGAAAAACTAAGACATGTAAGAGGGTGGAAATGACTCAGTGGTGACATACTGTGGCATCCCATTCACAGTCAGCACATTTTTATCCACTACACTAAACCCTAGGCCACAGCTCATTTTCTCCTTTTAAGAAAAACCGTGGGAAACAAATGATCTAAGAATGAGAAAACAGAAAGAGAATGACTTCCTTTCAGGCACCCCATTTGGTTTAATGGCACCTCTACTTACAGATAGTTGTGGAAATGGAAGGGCATGCCAGGTTTTCTAATACTTCCAGTGGTTACACATTAGGTCTGTTTTTGTGAACATTTAAAACTGATGAGTAAATTATATCAAGGAAAACTTAGATGTCAGTTGTCAACCTGCAACTATAAAGTTCCTAAGTTATCTATATATCACTCTGGTGTTTTCTTTTCTGCCTGCTTTAAGGCTGCTGTTACATTTTACTGAGATAAAATCCACTGTTTGTATCCAGCCATTTCTTACTGTTATTATTTTTGCAAACTGGTGAGTTTGTAATACTATCTCATTGCTAGAGTTCTGAGTAAAAGCTGTGGAATCTTTGTATTAGTATGTGTTCATTTATGTGTACATACACATATTTTGTTATGTGTTTTTGGCCACAAGGTACCAAATTGGCTTAAACTTAAAGAGTACTTACAAATAGTAACCCAAATGCTTTTCAAATTCACACTACTTCAGTAATATATTTACAGAATGGGAGAAAATATTTGCAAACTATGCATCCAACAAAGGTCTAACATCCAGAATCTATAAGGAACTTAAGCAAATAAGCAACAAACAACCTCATTAAAAAGTGGGCAAAGGCTGGGTGCAATGGCTTACACCTGTAATCCCAGCACTTCGGGAGGCCGAGGTGGGTTGATCACTTGAGGTCAGGAGTTCAAGACCAGCTTGGCCATCATGGTGAAACCCTGTCTCTACTAAAAATACAAAAATTAGCTGGGTGTGGTGGCACACACCTGTAATCCCAGCTACTCGGGAGGCTAAGGCAGGAGAATCGCTTGAACCCAGGAGGTGGAGGTTGCATTGAGCCAAGATTTGGCCACTGCACTCCAGCCTGGGAGCCTCTGTCTCAAGAAAAAAGTGGGCGAAGGATGTGATCAGAAACTATTCAAAAGAAGACATATATCCAACAAGCATACAAAAATGCTCAGTATTACTAATAATTAGAAAAAAAATCAAAATTGCAATGAGATACTGTCTCATACCAGTCAGAATTGTTATTACTAAAAAGTGAAATAAAAACAAATGCTGATTAGGTTGTGGAGAATAGGAAACACACACTGCTGGTGGGAATGTAAATTAGTTCAGCCAGTCTGAAAAGAAATTTGGTGATTTCTCAAAGAACTTCAAACAAAATTGTCATTTGATCCAACAATCCCCTTATTGGGTATATACCCAAGGGAATATAAATTGTCCTATCATAAAGACACATATGTTCATTGCAGCGCTATTCACAAAAGCAGACATAAAATCAATCTGTATGCTCACCAATGGTAGACTGGATAAAGAAAATGTGGTAATCATACATCATAGAATACTACAGAGACATAAAAAAGAATGAGATCATGTCCTTTGCAGCAACATAGATGGAGTGGGAGGCCTTTAGCAAACTAACTCAGGAACAGAAAACCAAGTACTGCATGTTCTCAATTATAAGGGGAGATAAATGTTGAGTAACTATGGACATGAAGAAAAGAACAACAGGGACTAGGACAATAGGACTGCCTACTTGAGGGTGGAGGGTGGGAGGAGAGTGAGGATTAAAATACTATCTATTGCATACTATGTCGAGTGTGTGTGTGTGTGTGTGTGTGTATGTGTGTGTGTGTAAATAAGGCCCTCATGAGGACCTAGCCATGCTTCTATAACTGTGAGAGATAAATTTCTGTTGTTTATAAGCTACCAAGTTAATAGTAATTTGTTATAGTAGCCAAAACTGAATGAGGCATTTGCCTTTATTAAACCTTTTTTAAATTTAAAGCTTATGTTAAAAGTGAGGAAATAGGGAAATCTATACCATGCTATCACAAAATGAAAGAATAATGGCTGTTTGAATTTCAGACAAAGTGGTCTTCCGAACAAAAGACAAAAATCAGGAATAAAGAGGAGCATTGTGTAATGATAAAGAAGTCATTTTTTCATGAGGCCTTCACAATCTTAAATGTGTATTCACCTAACAACTTAGCATCAAAGTTACATGAGCAAAAACTGATGAGACTGAAAGGAGGAGACAAATGCACTATTACAGTTGGAAACATTAACATACCTCTATGAATAAATCACAGATCAAGCAGGCAGAAAATCAGCAGGGATATAGTTGACCTGAACAGTACCATTAGTCAGCTTGATCTACTTGGCAGTTGTGGAATATTCCATATAGGAACAACAGAATACAAACTATAGTGAAGTTAACACAGAACATCCTAAGATAGGAAACACACATTAGCAAATTTTAAAAAGTAGAAATCATACATAGTATATTTTGGACCATAATGGAATTAATCTAGAAATCAATAAAGAAAGATGGCTGGAATTTTTCCAAATAGTCAGAGACAAAAAAAAAAGCTTTAAAACATTGCATGGATCAAAGAAAAAGTCTCAAAAAATTAAAAAGTATTTTGAACTAAATGAATGAAACATAAATTAGAACTTATCAAAATTTGTGAGATGCTATGCAAATAGAGCCTAGAGAGAATTTTAGAAAATTGAATGTATATATTAGAAGAGGAATATAAAATGAATAATATAAGCATCCACCTTAGAGAAGGAAACAATCCAAAATAGAGTAAAAATCAATGAAATTGCAAATATGGATTAATGCAATCAATATAACAATATCTATTTTTTGAAAAGATAAACACATTTGAGAAATTTCTAGACAGGTTAACTAATTAAAAAAGAAATAAGACACAATTTACTATCAGAAAAGAGCATCACGACTGATTCCACGGACATTAAAAGAAATATTATGAAGAACTCTGTGCCAACAAATTTGATAACATAGATGAAATGGACCAATTATTTGAAAGATACAATCTACTAAAATACACATAAAGAAAAAATTATGATTATGAATAGAAACATGTTTATTAGGAAATTGAATCAATAACTGAAACCTTCCATACCAGAAAGCACAAGGCCCAGATTGGTTCACTGGTGATTTCTATGATATATTTAAAGACAACACTGTATCAGTCATCTATAGAATTCTCTTTCAGGAAAGAGAACCAGAGGAAATACTGTCTGACTTATTCTATGAGGTCTACCTATCCTCATACTAACACCACTCAAAAATATTACAAAAAGGAAAACTGTAGATTATCGTTTCCTTAACGTTTTCTGTTGTTTATAAGCCACCAAGTTAATAGTAATTTGTTATAGTAGCCCAAACTGAATAAACATCTGCCTATAAGAAACCTATTTTAAATTTAAAACTTATGTTAAAAGTGAGGAGTTAGGGAAATCTATACCATGCTATCACAACATAAAAGGAGAAATGCCTGTTTGAATTTTAGACAAAGTGGGCTTCAGAACAAAAGACAAAAATCAGGAATGAAGACATTTTCTTTTGTGAACATAAATGAAAAAAATCCTTAATAAAATATTAGCAAATATAATCCAACAACATATATATTACTTAGGCACCATGGCCAAGTGAAATATTCCAGGTATGCAAGACTGGTTACCATTTGAAAATCAATTAACATAATCCACAAATCCAGAAGGAAGAAATAAAACTGTCTTTGTGCAAGGATCATAATATTCTCAAAAAATTTTCAAAGAATCAACAACAACAACAACATAAACACGCAACTTGTAACTAATTGTAGCAAGGTTTTAGGAAACAAGGTTGAAATATAAACATAAATTGTCTTCTTACATACCAGCAATAAACAAATGAATTTTTACAATAAAATCACACTATTTACAATAATATAAAAAAAGAAATACTTCGGTATAAACCTAACAAAATATATACCAGATCAATAGGAAAAGTACAAATTTCTGATGAAGGAAATAAAAAAAATGTAAATAAATGCAGAGATATTTTATGTTCATGGATAGAAAGATTCAATATTGTTAATATGTTCATTTTTCTTAACTTGATCTGTAGATTTAGTACAATCTCAACCCCATCAAGTTATTTTGTGAATATCAACCAAATGATTATAAAATTTATATGAAGAGACAAAATACCCAGAATACTGACACAGTATTAATAGGGAAGAACAAAGTTGGAGGGCTTCCATTACCTGACATCAAGGCTTACTATAAAGCTAGGAGATATCAAGACAGTGTGATATTTGTGAAATAACAGACAAATAGATCAATGAAACAGAATGCAGAGTTTAGAAATAGGTTTATATAAACATAATTTTTGGGCTAAGGAGCAAAGTCAAATTTATGAAGAAAGATTAGTCTTTTCAGCAAATGCTACAGAAACAATGGAACATCCACATGCAAAAAAAAAATGAATCTAGAGATATACCTTAACACTTTTCACAATAATTACTTCAATATTTATGATTGCACTAAATGCAAAATATAAAATTATAATTGTGTATTTTTCAGTTCTCATGCTATTAATAAAGACATAACTGAGACTGGGTAATTTTTTATACAAAAAAGGGGTTTAATGGACTCACAGTTTCACATGGCTGGGGAGGCCTCACAGTCATGGCAGAAGGCAAAGAAGAAGCAAAGGCACATCTTACATGGTGACAGGCAAGAGAGCTTGTGCAGGGAGACTCCCATTTATAAAACCATCAGATCTTGTGAAACTTATTCACAACAAAAAGAACAGTATGGGGGAAACTGCCCCCATGATTCAGTTATCTCCACCTGGCTCCTCCTTGACATGTGGGGATTATTACAATTCATGGTGAGATTTGAGTGGGGACACAGCCAAACCATATCATTCCACCTCTGGCCCCTCCCAAATCTTATGTCCTCAAATTTCAAAACCAATCATGCCTTCCCAACTGCCCCAAAGTCTTCACTTATTTCAGCATTAACTCAGAAGTCCACAGTCCAAAGTCTTATCTGACACAAGGAAGTTACCTTCTGCCTAGGAACTTGTAAAATCAAAAGCAAGTTAGTTACTTCCTAGATAAGATGGGGGTACAGGCATTGGGTAAATATGCCCATTCCCAATGGGAGAAAAGGAAAAAATGGAGAGGATACAGGTCCCGTGCAAGTCCAAAACCCAATAGGGCAGTCATTAAACCTTTAAGTCCCAAAATGATCTCCTTTGACTCTATGTCTCACATCTAGATCATGTTGATGCAAGAGGTGGGCTTTCATGGCCTTGAGAAGCTCCACCCCTGTAGCTTTGCAGGGTACAACCCCCCTCACCCCAGCTGCTTCCACAGTTGAGTTCCTGCAGCTTTTCCAGGTGTACAGTGCAAGCTGTCAGTGGATCTACCATTCTGGGGTCTGAAGGATGGTGGCTTTCTTCTCACAGCTCCACTAGGCAGTGCCCCAGTGGGGACTCTGTGGGAGCTTCAAACCCACATTTCCCTTCCTCACTGCCCTAGCGGTGATTCTCCAGAAAACTCCACCGCTGCAGCAGACTTCTCCCGGGGCATCCAGGCATTTTCATACATCCTCTAAAATCTAGGCAGAAGTTCCCAAACCTCAATTCTTGACTCTTGTGCACCTGCAGGCTCAACACCACATGGAAGCTACCAAGGCTTGGGGCTTGCACCCTCTGAAGCAACAGCCTGAGCTGTACCTTGGCCCCTTTTAGCCACAGCTGTAGCAGCTAGGATGCAGGGCACCAAGTCCCAAGGCTGTACACAGTAGGGGGGTCCTGGACCCACCCCAGGAAACCATTTTTCTCTTCTAGGCCTTTGGACCTATGATGGGAAGGGCTTCCATGATGTTATTTGGCATGCCCTGGAGACATTTTCCCCATTGTTTTGATAAGTCGCATTTGGCTCCTTGTTATTTATGCAAATTTCTACAGCTTGTTTGAAATTCTCCCCAGAAAATGTTTTTTTTTTTGAGGTTTTTATTTTTTTCTGTCTCATCATCAGGCTGCAATTTTTAAAAACTTTTATGCTCTGCTTCCTTTTGAACACTTTTCCACTTAAAAATTTCTTCCACCAGATACCCTAAATCATCTCTCTCAAGTTCAAAGTTCCACAGATCTCTAGGGCAGGGGCAAAATGCCACCAGTACCTTTGCTAAAACATAGCAAGAATCACCTTTATTCCAGTTCCCAAAAGATCCTCATCTCCATCTGAGACCACCTCAGCCTGGACCTTATCATCCATATCACTATCAGCATTTTGGTAAAAGCCATTCAACAAGTCTCTAGGGATTTCCAAACTTTTCCACATTTTCCTGTCTTTCTGAGCTCTCCAAACTGTTCCAACCTCTGTCTGTTAATCAGTTCCAAAGTTGCTTCCACATTTTCAGGTATCTTTACAGCAGCACCCCACTTTTCCAAGTAACAGTTTAATGTATTAGTTGTCATGCTGGTAATAAAGACATACCTGAGTTTGCATAATTCATACAGAAAAATAGATTTAAAAAGCTCACAGTTCCACATGGCTGGGAAGGCCTCAAAATCATGGCAGAGGCAAAGGAGGAGGAAAGGCATGTCTTAAATTGTGCCAGGCAAGGGAGCTTGTGCAGGGAGACTCCCACTGGTAAACCCACCAGATCTCATGAGACTTATTCACTACTATGAGAACAGTATGGGGAAAACTGTCCCCATGATTCAATTATCTCCACCTGGCCTGCCCTTGGCACATGGGGATTATTACAGTTCAATGTGAAATTTGGTGAGGGCACAGCCAAACCCTATCAAATTGCTTTAGAAGAAAGGTCAGAAAATATATAGGCAAACTTGGCTTTGAAGGTAAGTTGTAGCAACCCAAAAGGCAAAATTTATAATAGAAAACATAAATTGTTCTTTATTACAATTAAAATCTTTTGCTCTACAAATGACACTGTCTAAAAAATTATAGACAAGCCAAGACTGAGAGAAAATATTTGGAAGATACATATCTGACAGAGAACATATTTCTATAATATACAAAAACATTTAAATTGCAATAATAAGCAAACAACCCAATTTAAAAAATGGGCAAATATCTGGACATATATGTTACCAAGAAGATAAATTGTTGGCAAACAAGCCTGTGAAAAGGTGCTTAACATATTTTTATGGAATTTTAATTAAAATTACAATTTGGTGACAATATTCCTGTGAATTGAATTTTGTTTGGTCAAGGATATGTTGTATTAGTTCATTTTCATGCTGCTGATAAAGACATGCCCAAGACTGGGAGGAATAAGAGGTTTAATGGATTTACAGTTCCACATGGCTGGAGAGGCCTTATAATCATGGTCAAAGGCAGGGAGAAGCAAGTCACGTTTTACAAGGATGACAGCAGGCAAAGAGAGCTTGTGCAGGGAAAGTCCCCTTTATAGATCCATCAGATCTCATGAGACTTATTCACTATCACAAGAACAGCAATATAATAAGCTATCAATATTGGTTCATTAGTTTTAACAAATGAACCATACTAATATAAGATGTTAATAGCAATGAGATTTGGATGTGGAGTATATGAAAACTCTATACTATCATTGCAATTTTTCTGTAAATCTAATATTGTTCTAAAATAAAAACTTTATTTTTAAAACAGTAAATAATATCAAACCAAGGTGGCAAGTTTAGAAAGCTTAGAAATACCAATAGGAATAGCATTCTTGTGGCATCATCTCTAGAAGCCTTCCATAATTCTACTTCCTTTCCAGTAAGACAGAACTAGATGTTTTCCCATGTGGTTCCATATTTTCACTGCTTATTTTCTTCATGACATCACACTGTAGACAGTAAGCTTATTATTTGATTCTAAACTCATCGCCAACATCATACTAAGTGGGCAAAAGCTGGCAGCATTTCCCTTGAGAACTGGAACAAGACAAGGATGCCCACTCTCAACACAGTTCTAAAAATCCTAGCAAGAGCAATTAGGCAAAAGAAATAAAAGCCATCCAAATAGGAAAAGAATAAGTCAGAGTATCTCTTCACTGAAGATATGATTCTATACCTAGAGACCCCTAAAAATTCCAGCAAAAGGCTCCTAGGACTGAGAAACTACTTTAGTAAAAATTTAGGATACAAAACAAATGTGCAAAAGTAATTGGTATTTGAAGACACTAATAACATTCAAGCTGTGAGCAAAATCAATAATGAAATCCCATTAGCCACAAAAGAATAAAATACCTAGGAATACATCTAACCAAAGAGTGAAATATCTCTACAAGGAGAACTACAAAATACTGCTTAAAGGAATCAGAGATGATATGAATAAATTGAAAAATATTCTATGCTCATGCATTGGAAGAATCAATATCATTAAAATGGCCATGCTACCTAAAGCAATTTACAAATTCAAAGCAATTCCTAACAATCTACCAACATCATTTTTTGCAGAATCAGAAAAAAGTCTATTCTAAAATTCATATGGAACCAAAAAGAGCCTGAATATCCAAAGCAATAGTAAGTAAAAAAAAAAAACAAAGCCAAAGGCATCATGTTACCCTACTTCAAACTATACTACAAGGCTACAGTAACTAAAACAACATGATATAAAAACATGTATAAAACTGGTATAAATACAGACAGATAGACCAATGGAACAAAATAGACAGCCCAGAAATAATGCCACACACCTATGACCATCTGATCTTCAAAAAAGACAACAAAAATAAGCAATGAGAAAAAGATTTTCTATTCAACAAATCATGCTGGGTTAACTGATGCTCCATATGCAGAAGAATAAAAATGGACCCCTACCTATCACCATATACAAAAGTCAATTTGAGATAGATTAAAAGATTTAAATTTAAGACCTCAAACTATAAAAATCCTATAAGAAAACCTAGAAAATATCTTTCTTGCTATCAGCCTTGGCAAAGAATTTATGACTAAATCCTCAAAAGCAATTGCAACAAAAATTGACAAGTGGGACCTGATTAAACTAAAGAGGTTCTTCATGGCTAATTATCAACTGGCCAGGCACTGTGGCTCACACTTGTAATCCATGCACTTTGGGAGCACGAGGCAGGCAGATCACTTTGAGCTCAGGAGTTTGAAACCACCCTGGTCAACATGGCAAAACCCCATCTCTATAAAAAATAAATAAAATACAATAATTAGCTGGGCATTGGTGGCTCGTGCCTGTAGTGCCAGCTTCTTGGGAGGCTGAGGCTGGAGAATCACTTGAGCCCGGGAAGCAGAGGTGGCAATGAGTCAAGATGGTGCCACTGCACTCCAGCCTGGGTGACAGAGTGAGACACAGAAAGAAAAGAAAGGAAAAGAGAAAAGAAAAGAGAGATAGAAAGGTAGGAAAGATAGAAAGGAAAGAGAGAAAGGAAGGAAGGAGAGACAGAGAGAGAGAAAGGGAGGAAGGGCGGACGGAAAGAATCAATGGAGTAAGCAGAAAACCTAGAGAATGGGAGAAAATATTTACAACTATGCAACAGAGAAAGGTCTAATATCCAGAATCTAGAAAGAACTTAAGAAAAAATAAATGACCCTATTGAAAAGTAGGCAAAGGTCATGAACACTTCTTAGAAGAAGGCATACAGGTGGCCAACACACATATGAAAAAATGCTTATCATCACCAATCATCAGAGAAATGCAAATCAGAATCACAATGAGATACTATCTCATACCAGTCAGAATGACTTTGGTAAAATGTCAAAAAATAACAGATGCTGGTGAGGCTGTGGAGAAAAGAGAACATATATACACTTCTTGATGTGAATGTAAATTAGTTCAGTCACTGTAGAGAACAGTTTAGAGAGTTCTTTGAGCAATCTCATAACTGGGTATATACCCAAAGGAAAATAAATCATTCTACCAAAAAGACACATGCGCCCATACGTTCATTGCAGCACTATTCACAATATCAAAGACATGGAATCAGCCCGGGTGCACATTGATGGTGGAGTGGATTAAGAAAGTCTGGTACATATACACTGTGAAATACTACATAGCCATAAAAGAGAACAAAATCATGTCCTTTGCAGCAACATGGATACAGCTGGAAACCATTATTCTAAGTGAATTAGTGCAGAACAGAAAACCGAATACTACAGGTTCTCACTTACAAGTCAAAGCTAAACGTTGGGTTCACATGGACATAAAGATAGGAACAAGAGACGCTGGGGAATCCAAGAGAGGGGAGGAAGGGGAGCAACGGATAAAAAAAAACTCCTATTGGGTCCTATGCTCAGCGCCTGGGTGACAGGCTCAGTCATACTTCAAACCTCAGCATCAAGCAATACACCTTTGTAACAAACCTGCACATGTAGCAGCTGATTCTAAAATAACAGTTGAAAATAAAGCAGAAATTGACATTTATTTTTGTATCCCCATCATTTAGCATAGTTCTTGGCACATAGTGTGCCTTTCATAAAAGTTTGTTGAATACATGAATAAATAAATGGAGAAAATAAGTTTCCTCTACAATAATTAAGTCCACTTCATTCTAAAGTTTGTCTAAATCTTCAGCATTCAATAGTATATTCAATGCATAAAATCAGTAACGACACTGAGAATGTATCTGTAGCTAATGAAAGTGAATGAAAGCTTTTCAATAATCATTGCTCAATTGTTTTTGATTGAAGAATGCTCTGTATTGTCCCTAATATCTTTATTCTCCACATCCTTCCTCAAAAGTAAGGGGATAGGAATGCCCAGTCAATTGATAAGGAGAGGCCACTGAGGCTATCAAAGATGTCAACATGACATTTCACCTCTTCTATTTATAAACTTGGTTTAAAATTGACTGCTTTCTAATCTCTCTTTGAAATTATTGTTCATTATCTTTTACTAACTATAAAATGTGTCACTTAAATCTTTCAAATAAATTTATAGGCCTATTCTGTTGAGATAATAAGGAGCTATATTTTATAAACCATGGCCTTTACAAAGCCTTTTCTTGCCATCTGCATTTAATATCTAATTTACTCTTAGCTTTGCACAGGGATCTCTCAAAACAAAAATCAAATCACTGCTATTATTATTGCCATCGGTTTCATTTCAGTTTAGGCTTTTGATCTTATTATTAAAGGTTAGTGATTATGTACTCTCTTTGTTGTGCGTTAGTCATTAATAGGCCTCATTATTTAGTAACTACTAATTTTGGCAAGTGAGCAACAGATATTTTGTCTTAAGATAAAATGTTAAAGAGAACAAAGCAGAATAGTAACCTTTGAGTTTTTCCCTATCTGATGTCTTACAAGCAGAACGCATATTTTCTTCCTAGTAAATATTTATGTAGTACCATACTGAGTAGATCCTGGCTGCCTAGCACTGTGCTTTATAACAGGGGAAATACAAAAAGTCTGAAGCCTAGCTATGAAATTTTCCTAGTTATTTTTTAAGCTTAACAAAGGGTTGTTTTTAGTAATTAGCTTTATTCGATTATACAATTAATACATGATCATGATTTAAAAATTTAAAACAACAGAGAAGACTATAAAGTGAAATGTCAGTTCCCAGTCCTCCTTTTCTGATCCACCATTCTCCCTTCCTGGAGACAAATGCTTACCAGTGCCTTGCAGAAAACAAATGTGAGCCTGTTATACATTAAATTATGCCTTTTTACTTTCCAAATTAGTATACAGATGTTTACCTCATTCTTTTAAATGGATATATATTAATAGTAATATAGTAAGTAAAGATATGTTTAAAACAAAGATTTTATGTAGAAAATGAATTTATGAAAAGGCAAAATAAATACAAAATAAAGGAGAATTTTGTATCAAATACTGACAGACCCATATGCACTGTGGAAAACTGAGCTTTTGTTTATTCTCCTTAACAAATATAGGCCTTTACTAGGAAGCTGTTGTAAGTATTTTGAAATCCTTTATGCAGATTAATATTTATGTACATTATTCACTGAGCACCATATCTGAGCCAAAATTAGTACTAGTTGCTTACTATGTATCATATTATTGAGTTATCACCAAAGACATTGTAGTCAAGGAAACGTGAGTTTTATTCCCCAAGTTGTTTAACAACTGTATAGTATTAGGTACTGTGTCCTCTGTCTCCTAATCTTTAAAAAGACAATAATATTACTTACCCAAAAGGGTTTATGTGCTAATTGATATATGTAAATACCTAAAGAGTTTTTATGGAAATGAAATGAATTAATATATGTAGAAGCACCCAGAACAGAGGCTAATGAAGTATAAGTTCCATACAAGTTAGCTAAATAGTAACAAACTATGTATTTAGCATAATGCCCATGGGTCATGCACCAAATTATGTGAGTCACAAATTGTGTTAGGGTCTAGAGATATAATGGAATATTCTGGACAATTGAAATTAGAAAGGGTATCTGGGGGGATGGATTTCACATTATTTGTAAGGTTACGTGTTGTTTGAATTATGAATAATATTTAAGATATGAATTGACTTATATTTTACCAGTTATACACACATATATTGTCTCTAAAAATAAAATAGAAAAAGGCTTACAGTAAGTGTATGTATACTTCTGTCCCTCCTCTGTATACTTAGCCCCGTTCTTTTTTTTTTTTTTTTTTTTTGTATTTTTAGTAGAGACGGGGTTTCACCATGGTCTCCACCTCCTGACCTCGTGATCCGCCTGCCTTGGCCTCCCAAAGTGCTGGGATTACAGGCGTGAGCCACTGTGCCCGGCCTAGCCCCGTTCTTAAGAGGCAATCATTTCAATTTTAGCTGTTTAACGTGGTATTAACTGCCATATTTGTAAGTAGTGTAGGTATAATGGAGTCGTCAGTTTCTGACAATAGTGACTACTGGAAATATAGTAGTTGGAAATTTAACTTCTTATACTATAATGCTTCCCCCTTTCCCAAGCCAGTTTCTCCCCATGTGGTTATAGTAGAAAGTTTTCTACCATTGTCAAATGAGTGTTTAACCTTTGCATCAATAATGATTCAAATATTCTTGATTTCTGGGTCATTTGTTTCATGGAGTACACTTACTTAAAGCATTTTATTTGTATTGGAGTTAATAATCTCCTTCTCCTTTTCCTCCTTACCTTTCATTTGATTGGCTTTTAGGTACTCATTGCTACATTTTTCTCCAAATATGAATAAATATGCTCCAAAATATGTCAAAAGCATCTGTTGATAATGTCTATAAATAGTCCAAAACATTATATTACCCATGAACTTCTTTATGTAAAACTTAGAACTATCTTCTTCCTAGAGGCTCTAATTTCCCTTTTTCTGACCTGCACTGGTTTTCTAAAGCCTGCTTCCTAGCTGTTATTCTGGTACTTTATTTGACCATTCTTCAGGCTTGTGTCTCCTGTATCTTGGGTCCCATGTCTTTATCTCTTAGTTTACCCCTTTGTCTTCTGAAATATATCTTTTGGTAACTTTCTTAGAGTACACAGTATGCAAGTTATTGAATTTTCTTATGTCTAAAAATGTGTTTTGTACCTTCATTTGATTGATAAGTGGGTTGGTATAGAATGCAATGGTGAAAACATTTAGCACCTGGAGATCTTTTTACATATACTAGGAGCTGGGTAGAGGATGAGACCAAGAGTTTAGTAATTGAACTTTTACTTAATTCCTCTTCAAGCCTGTGTCTTATCCAAGTTTTCTGCTTCACTTTTCATCCTCAGGTTGAAAGACCCTCAGATTTAATTTCTCCCAGGAGTTGAGAGTCTTCTGGCTGACAAGTTAGGAGAACGAATTTCTGATAGTATCTATGCAACTACCTCCACTTTCTGCATTACTTAGCGACTTTATCCCTAATCATTGAAGCCAATGGGAGTCCTTCACAGGACCTTTTCTTGTCAGTCTTTTCTGGTCTTTTCTTGTCAGTGTCTTTTTGAAAAAAAAAATTGTATTTGTTGTTTTTTCTCCTGTTTTTTTTTTTAATCTTTCTTGGTTTGTACCTTACAGTCTGTATTAGGCAGAATTCTGCCCTAAAAAGCACACATAATGCCTACTATTCAAATTTCCTATAACTTGCAGTTCTCTGTCACTAAATTGTGGGTTCCATGAAGGCAGAGCCTTTTAAATTCCTCTAATATTCTTGACAGAACATTAGAAGCTTAGTAAAAAGTTTTTCATGAAAGAGTGTAAAAAAGAGAAAAGTAAAGTAACCACATCTAGGACAGAATTCAATTGCTTCTGTTCTTCCTAATCAAAATGCCTTCTAGGTATTATCTTGCTAAAATAGTCTGTTAAAATAGTTTATTAATTTTTATGGACAACCCTAAATAATCACAAATTTGGCTTAAAACCCCTTATATAGATTAAATTAAATTGTGTCTCTTTGGTTGTTCATCTGTGTGTCATAATTAAAATTAAACCATCTGCAGTCATTTTGTATTGATGGTAATTGAGAACCTTTGATTTGGCATTTTATAAAGGTAATGTGTTTAAAGTCAAATTGCCTAAAATACATTTTATGTTTCTTCCCTTGACCTTTGTGAAATTCAATTAGGTAATTAATATATAGAATTAATGACATCAGTGATTTTAGCTCTTCTGCAGCAGAATCCCTAAGATGCCTCATACCTATCCAAGGAGGAAAAAAATGCTTCTATTTTGCAGGACATGCCTTTGGTTTCCATGGAAACAGTTCAGTAAAAAGTTTGGAATGTTACATATTACTTAATATCTTATATTCATATAAATATTGCCAGAAGATATGTCATATCTATTCAAGTGTAAAGTATCATGAGAATTAAGCAAAGGAATATATCAAATTGAAATTCTTTGTGGTCCATCACTGTTAACACTGCTGGCCTGGAAGGAATTTCAGTGAGAATCTCAAGGACTATCTTGAAAAAAATAATCAATATTTTCAGTACAGAGTGCACTGATTTTAATTACTGAGGATTCTTGTAATCACTCTTTACTCTTCTATTAAAATTGCCAGTAGAAAAAAAACTTCCGGACTTAAATTTAGCTTAGATTTTGAGGGATATCAATTTAAAATTGGCTTAAATATATTCACTTAGATTTATTGGGGAACCATTAAACTGGATTGATCCTGAATAATAGATGTTGCTGGCTTTTCATTATAATGTAAAGTTCTCAAATGTGTTAGCCATTTCAATAGATTTTTTTTTTTTTTTTTTTTTACTTTCAAACAATTCGATATACTATTGGCCAATCTCAACTATTAAGCCCAGGCATCTAGTTATTTTGGATCACTAGGAATTCTCACATTGTAACTCTACAAATCTTACAGATTACAAAAACAATGCTGAATAAATCTTTAGAGATAATCATGTTCAAGTGTTTTCTTTCATGTTTAAAAGAAATGTTGTCAAACATTGAAGGACAATTCAATGTTGTCAAACATTGAAGGAAATTGACAAATGTTAAAGGAATTTGATGAATGCCATGAAATCTACATATCATACTTTCTTCTATAATGTGTTTACGTTGAGTGTCATATGCAATTTCCAGTAATGGCTGCTACATATCAAACTAACCATTCTGTAACGCACAAATCCCTGTGAAATCTTTCCTGTACTGCTTAGTGTCGGAAGGAGAAAAGCTAAGGCAGACACTGCACCCACCTTGTCCTAGTAGTACTTTCAGATCTGTGTTTGCTTCCTTCCATATCAATCTTGCCAGACTGTAAACTCCCTGAGGCCAGGGGCCATGCCTTATCAATTTCTAATTGATTCTTGCCTAGCTTATCTGAGACAGAGTTCAATAAATTAATATTAATCAATCCAGTCTGAAGCATGCTTTGCTTAAAGAAGTATATTATTGTATTTAACAATTTATATTGGATGAGTATTAAAAGTAACCTAGAAGTAATTTTTGGATAAATTTCAACGTGTGACACATGCTATATTTTCAAACAGCCAACTAGCCTCTTCCACAGACCCCCAAAAATGCCTACGTGACTTTTCTGTGAGAATGATGCATGAATGGCATTTAAATAGCTCAGAGGTTAAGAGATACTGATAGGGTATTACAAAAACATCCTTGAGAATGCATTGTTTAAGAAAAAGCCCATTTCAAAATCTCTCCTTAAGTCACTATTGCAAGTCTTTTTCAGTACAAAACACTGTGATTTACAAGAGAAGCGGTTACGCCAACAATATATGATGGTACCCAGGACCCTTGCTGCTCTCTGACTCACTGCCTGACTTTGTCACTAAACTTTTTGGTGCTTGTCAGTGAAGCTGTAAAAGTATGAAAAAAACAGTCTCGCCTAGAACCTTCCTAAACTGAGTTGTTCTGAAAGGTATACATCTTAAAAATAAAAGTAATTGAAAAGAGAATGCCATGAGCGATACTATGAATCTAAGCAGCAAAAATTGCCCAAATGCTTGTTGAAATATTTGACACAAAGAATTTTAGGGACATCATTGACTCTCCTGTATCCCTATCTCATCCCCTTTGGGTGGAATTAATCCTCCTCGGTAGCGTCAAACACTGCAGAAACCAATCAAAAAAGAAAGCTGCAACAAGTGCTACCAACCCAAACTAATTCACAGAAGTCGCCACACCAAGCCAAGGAGCTCTACCTTCTTTTTTTTATTTTTGTTTGAGGTAACATCTTCTAGTAGTGCCCATTCTGGAGTGCACTGGCACAATCGTAAAACCTCTACCTTCTTTCAGTGCTAGGATATTCTTCCATGAAGTAATGGATGAGGTGGAAGGGGCATGATAATATGATGCATGAAATATTTCATTTATTGACATTGACTAAAATAAAGTCAGTTATGTGGCTATGATATTGAAAATATCTTGTATGCAGGTTCAGTACAATTTTATGTAATTTTTCAATAGATTTAGGGGGTACAAGTGCAATTTAGTTAAATGGATATATTGTGTAGTGGTGAAGTCTGGGCTTTAAGTGTACCCATCACCTAAATAATGTACATTGTATCCAATACCATTGGATCCGATAGGTATCCAATAGGTACTCCCCCCACCCCCCTCTTACTCTTCCACCTTTTGGAGTCTCCAATGTGTTATTCCAATTTGTATTTCCATGTGTATGCATTGTTTAGCTCCCACTTATAAGTGAGGACATGTGGTATTTGACTTTTTGTTTCTGAGTTATTTTACTTAGGATAATGCCCTCCAGTTCTATCAATGTTGCTTCATAATACATTATTTCATTCTTTTCATGGCTGAGTAGTATTCCACGGTGTGTGTGTGGGGGAGTGTATTAGGGATATAGATACATTATATAGATTCACATTATGTGTATATATATGTGTGTATATATATATATATATATGCACACACACACACACACACACACACACACACACCACATTTGGTTTATTCAATTCTTCATCAATGGAAATGAAGGTTGAGTTCATATCTTTACTATTGTGAATAGTGCTGTGATAGACAAACAAGTGTAGGTGCCTTTAGTTCTTTGAAAACTCTACATATTATTTTACATAGACGTTATAGTCATTTACATTCCCACCAACAGTGTATGTTTCCTTTTCTCCACATCCTCACCAACATCTGTTGATTTTTGACTTTTTAATAATAACTATTATGACTGTTGTAAGATGATATCTTATTGTGGTTTTAATATGCATTTATCTGATGATTAGTTACGTGGAGCATTTTTCATATTTGTTTTGGCTGCTTGCATGTCTTTTCAAAGTAATTTAAATGTCTGTATGTATAATCTTATACTTTGTCTATTGAACAAAACCCCTAACAAATTCTTTCCTTTTCATACCCTGAAGGTGGAGTTTGCTGGACCATATTTTACTCTGACTCCTGATATACTTTCTGATTACTATTTACTTCATTTTATAAGCTTTTTTTAATTATTAGAAGCTAATTCTGAAGGGCACAGAAAATAGCCTGGACAACAAGAAGTGACGTCTATGGAGTTCAGTCTGTTATAACCTCTGCTTAATTTGGTCAAATTCAACTGCATTCTTCACACACTTCATTCCTGTTGTTTACTAGAGTGCAAATACTCTACCGTCTCTTTGTCCTTTTCCTGTTTTCTTTTTCTGCAATGTGTTATTTCTACATGTATCCCTGATTTCATTGATCTAGCAAACACTATTTCTACTAATTGAAGCAATGTATTTTTCTTCTCCTATACCAGAGATGCCTTCTCTAACAACCTGTCTAACAATCATTAAATCAATTCTGTTGTCTGGTGATACTCACTCAACTAGGCATTATAAAGGGAGTATTAAATATTGTTTGTGATTTAACCAACTCTCCACAAAGTAATACGTAACATTTTATGTATCTCCTTCTTCTGCCGACCATTCAGACCATTCACCTCCAAGCTGCTTTATTCTTGAAAATACCTGGGGGAGCCATCACATTTCTCTCCTATTTCACACTATAGTTACTTTATTAATAACTTTTCAAATGTTTTGTGAGAAAACAGAACTTGCAACTCTTATCATTTAAGTTTTCAGTTTAGTTGGCATGATAATATATATTTTGCCTGAACACTTTCATGGTATTTCACAGTTTGTTGATGTTTTGGAGGTTAGATTGTTTACATAGAGAGGTTGATTTTTATCTAACTGTATTTTTGCACCCAGTAACCAACCTCTTTTCATCTCCCTCTCTCATACTGTTCCCAGTCTCTAATAAATGCCATTTTACTCTCTACCTCTATGAATTCAACGTTTTTAGCTCCCACCTATGAGTGAGAGTATGAACCATTTGTCTTTCTCTGCCTAGCTTATTTCACTTACCACAGTGAACAATGAACTTACCTCTAAGTTCATCCATTAGAGATTGATTTTTTAGGCCATTATTACTTAGAAACCAAGATTGGCCTTAGCTATCCATGTTGAAAAGAAATCATGAAGTATACTTATAATGATACAGACTTGTATTTCTTTTGGAAAATGTCATTTGTTAACCTTAAAAATGTTCTTTTTGATGTAGACTAAAAATGAGAAATAAACAGAAAAAAGGACTAAATGGGAGAAGATGTGCCATTAGATTATTCCAGAAATATGTTAACTCCAAAAATATGCATGACTCACAAAAATACAGAGCAAAATTAAGGTTACCATAAGGTATATTTTAAAACCATGTGAATTCATTTCAAAGGGTAAATTGTTTTATGTTAAATAGTAAATATAGTTCCCAAAATGGACTATAGCTACTAATGAACATCAGATGCCAGGCTTTTCACTACTGGGAGAATTTTATTACAGATTCTACCTCATGACTTGTTATTGGTCTGTTCAGGTTTTGAATTTCCTCCTGGTTCAGTGTTGGTAGGTTATATGTGTTTAGGAATTTGTCGATTTCTTCTAGGTTTTCCAATTCATTAGCATATGGTTACTCATAGTAGCCACTAATGATCATTTCAATTTCTGTAGTACATTTGTAATGTAACCATTCTTACTTCTGATTTCATTTATTTGATCTCTCTTTTCTTCTTAGTTTGTCTGGCTAGAGGTTTGTAGACTTTTTTTAACTTTCCAAAAAACCACCTTTTTATAGGATGGTCTGATACTGATGAAGTCCCTCAGTTTTTGTTTCTCTGGAGAAGTCTGTATTTCTCCTTTAAATTTGAAGGACATTTTCACTGGATATACTATTCTAGCACAAAGTGTTTTTTTTTTCTTTTTCTTCAGCACTTCATATATGTGAAGCCAATCTATCCTGGCCTGTAAGGTTTCCACTGAAATGTCTGCTGTCAGATGTCTTGGAGCTCCTTTGTATGTTATTTGTTTATTTTTTTCTCGCTGCTTTAAGGATCCTTTCCTTACCCTTGGAATTTGGGAGTTTGAATATTAAATTCCTTGAGGTAGTTTCCTTTAGGCTAAATCTGCTTGGCATTCTACAACCTTCCTGAACTTGGATATTAATATCTTTCTCTAGGTTTTAGAAGTTCTCTGTTTTTATCCCTTTGATTACACTTTTTGCCCTCTTTGTCTATCTCCTTTTCAAAGACAATAACTCTACGATTTGTCCTTTTTAGGCTATTTTCTAGATATTGTAGGTGTGCTTCATTGTTTTTTATTCTTTTTTCTTTTGTTTCCTCTATTAGTCCATTCTCACGCTGCTAATAAAGATATACCTGAGACTAGGTAATTTATAAAGAAAAGAGGTTTAATTGACTCACAGTACAACATGGCTGGGGAGGCCTCACAATCATAGTGGAAGGCAAAGAAAGAGCAATGGTACATCTTACATGGCGGCAGGCAAGAGACTGTTTGCCTGAACTGCCCTTTATGAAACTATCAGATCTCATGAGACTTATTCCCTATCATAAGAACTGCACAGGAAAACCTGCCCCCATGATTCAATTACCTCCCACCAGGTCCCTCCCTTGACACATAGGGATTATGGGAGCTCCAATACAAGATGAGATTTAGGTGGGGACAGAACCAAACTATATCATCCTGCCCCGGGCCACTCCTAAATCTCATGTTCTTCTCACATTTCAAAACCAATCATGTCTTCCCAACAGTCCCCCAAAGTCTTAATTCATTTCAGCATTAAATCAAAAGTCCACATTCTAAACTTTCATCTGAAACAAGGCAAGTCCCTTCTCCCTATGAGCCTGTAAAATCAAAAGCAAGTTAATTACTTCCTAGATACAATGGAGGTATAGGCGTTGGGTAAATATACCCATTCCGAATGTGATAAATTGGCAAAAATGAAGGGGCTACAGGCCCCAAGCAAGTCCAAAATCCAGCAGGGCAGTCAAATCTTAAAGCTCCAAAATGATTTCCTTTGGCTCCATGTCTCACATCCAGGTCATGCTGATGCAAGAGGTGAATTCCCATGGCTTTGGGCAGCTCTGCCTCTATGGCTTAGCAGGGTACAGCTCCCTCCTGGCTGCTTTGATGGGCTGCCATTGTCTGTGGCTTTTCCAGGAACACAGTGCAAGCTGTTGGTGAATCTACTATTCTGGGGTCTGGAGTACGGTAGCCCTCTACTCACAGCTCCACTAGGCAGTGCCCCAGTGGAAACTCTGTGTGAAGGCTCTGGCCCCACATTTCCCTTCCTCACTGCTGTGGCTGAGGTTCTCCATGAAGGCCCCACCCCTGCAGCACACCTCTGCCTGGACCTCCAGGTGTCTCCATACATCCTCTAAAATCTAGGCAGAGGTTCCCAAACCGTGATTCTTGACTTCTCTGCACCCACAGGCTCAACACCATGTGAAAGCTGCCAAGGCTTGGGGCTTCCACCCCGTGAAGACACAGCCTGAGCTTTATGTGGGCCCCTTTCAGCCACAGCTTGAGTGGCTGGGACACAGGGCACCAAGTCTCAAGGCTGCACACAGCAAAGGAGGCCCTGGGCTCAGCCCAGGAAACCATTTTTCCCTTCTAGGCCTCTGGGCCTGTGATAAGAGGGGATGCTTTGAAGTTCTCTGACATGCTCTGGAGACATTTTCCCCTTTGTCTTGGTGATTAACATTTGGCACCTCATTTACTTATAAAAATTTCTGCAGCCAGCTTGAATTTCTCCCCACAAAATGGGGTTTTCTTTTCTATCACATCCTCAGACTGCAAATTCTCCAAACTTTTATGCTCTGCTTCTTCTTGAACACTTCACCACTTAAAAACATTTTACCCCAAATACCTTAAATCGTCTCTCTTAAGTTCAAAGTTCCATAGATCTCTGGGGCAGGGGCAAAATGCTGCCAGCCTCTTTGCATAGAAGGAGTGACCTTTACTCCAGTTCCCAACACATTCCTCAATTCCATCTGAGACCAGCACAGCCTGGACCTTATCGTCTATATCACTATCAGCATTTTGGTCAAAGCCATTCAACAAGTCTCTAGGAAGTTTCAAACTTTCCCACATCTTCCTGTCTTCTGAGCCTTCCAAGTCGCTAGGAAGTTCCAAACATCCCCACATTTTCCTGCCTTCTTCTGAGACCTCCAAACTGTTCCAATGTCTGCCTGCCTATTACCCAGCTCCAAAGTTGCTTCCACATTTTCAGGTATCTTTACATCAGCGCCCCACTCCCTGGTACAAATTTACTGTATTAGACTGCTCTCATTCTGTTCTCTTTCCTCACTTTCTCCCAAACATACAGAGTCTCTCTCTCTCTGTTCTGAGCCACCTAAAGCTGGGGGTGGAGTTACAAGTACACCTGTGTTCACCACTCCTGGGAGTGAACTGAGTCGGACCGAAAGGCAGCATAGCACTGTCTTGCCCAAGGCCTGCTGTAACCACTCTCTGGCTACTGCCTTTGTTTGCTTAAGTCCCTTGGGCTCTACAATCAGCAGGTGGCAAAGCCAGCCAGGCCTGTGTCTTCCCCTTCATGGTGGCAAGTTCTCCCAAGCCTCACTTGGGTCTAGAGGTGCCTTCTGGGCGTCAAGAACTGGAGTCATAAATCTTAAAAGTCTCTCTGGTGTTCTGTTGTAGTGCCACTGGACCAACCCTCAAACCACAAGATACAGTTTTTCTCACTCTTTTTTCCCCTTTCCAAAGGCAGGGGAGAACTCCTTGTTTCCACCACCAGCACAGGCCATGGGGAGTACTGTCAGACTACTGCCAATGTTCCATTAATGTCCAAGGACTCTTCAGTCAGCTTGTGGTGAACGATGCTGAGCTTGGTACTCCCACTTAAGGGATGTAGACTCCCCTTTGGCCAAGAGCAGGTCCAGAAATGCTATCCAAGGGTCAAGTCCTGGCATCAGGGAGCTTAAGAGGCCACTTGGTGCTACACCTTCTATGGCTGTGCTGGTACCTAATGTGCAAAGCAAAGTCCCCTTTATTTTTCCTCTGTTTTTCTCAAGCACAAGGTGTTTTGCTCAGTAACCACCACACATGGTAATGTGCTGAGTTTCACCAAAAGCCAGTAAGTCTCAGAGGGTCACCCAAGGCCACTAGGGGTAGTAACTGTGTATCACTGCTGGCTATTCAGGGCCCAGGGGCTCTTCAGTTAGCGGGTGATGAATGCTGCCAGAACTGAGTGCTTTCCTTCAGGAAATTGATTTTATTCTGGCCCAGAGTGTGTCTAGAAATGTTATCAGGGTACTAGGGCCTGGAATGTGAGCCTCATGACTCAGATTGGTGCCCTATCCCTTCAGTGGCTGAGCTAGTAGCCAACATGCAAGACAAAGTCCTCCCCACTCTTCCCTTTCCTCTACTAAAGTGGAAGGAATGGGTCTCTTTTTGACCCGCAAGCTGTGCAGCCTTGAATTCGGGAAGGGGTGATGCCAGCATTTCCTTTGCCCCTTCAGCTGGTGTCTCAGTGGGTTGTGTGTCTTCCCGGTCCATCGTCTTTAAGGCCAGTTCAACACTATGACTCACCTAAAAGTTGCAGATTTTATGGCCGAGACTGCCTTTCCAGGTTACTTAGAGACCAAGAGCAGTTTAGCCCTTGGTGGCAAGATTTGGGAGAACTTAAGTCCTGACTCTTAGGATCAGTGATTTCCCTCTGGCTAGGGCTGGTTTCAATGCCCTCTCCATGGGTGGCCATCAGCTAAGTTTGGTTTGATTTTTGTTTCTGCTCTAACAGGACATCACTGAGTTCAATCCCTCACAATTGCTGTGTTCTCCCTCCTTCAGCACCCAGAGACACTCTCTGCGCCATGCTGCCACTGCTGAGAGCTGGGGAAGTGCAGACATGGGCGATTTGAGGCTTTTCTTTTCTCTGTCTCTCTTCAGGGCCTCTTTCAGCAATATGAAGATAAAGCTAGGTATTACGATTTTTGGTTCTTATGAAGGTATTTATTTAGTGTAGATAATTGTTAATTTTGTGTCCTTGTTGTGGGGATGATTGGTAAAGCTGTCTATTTTGCTATATGAGGGAGGTAGGGAGCTTTTTAATTTTTGTAGCTTCTTATTTAGGAATAAAATGGGAGGCAGCTTTGCCTGACATAGTTCCCCACTCGACTTTTTCCTTGGCTTAGTGATTTGGGGTTCCCGAGATTAATTTTCCTTTCATAAGTGGCAACATATAGGCTTATTGGATATTGCTCATTGATCTAAGAAATACTATGAAGCATTCTTACTTTTAGTTTTTAATTTCTGTGGGTAGATCTGTGACACAGTCTTAATGCTTATTTCTGGTTGTGATTTATTCTTTCCAGGACAGTGCATTTGTATAGCAGAGAAAAAGGTTTTTCTTATATTTTTCAAATGTATGCCAACAAAGCTCTGATGCTTAAATTACCATTAATTCTGTACATGTTGCTATTACAATGTTATATTTCTATTAAAATAGAATGCTATAGAGCTTTCTAGAATTTTTTTGTAATGGCCAGATTATCAGTATTGTTGTTATAAGTTAATAATTTTTGACTCTCCAGTGTGTCTGTGATATTGTCCTAGATATTTGGAAGAGGACACAGAGATTAATTTATAAAAGCCACATCTATGTCCTTGCAACCTACTTTTTTTGGCAACATCAATATAGACTCATTAAGAATAAAAGAAATGAGATTGAACAACATATGGATTCATTGACTTCATTTCTCTTAGTGTCTAAAAGACTCACTAAGTGTAATGAGGTTCTGAAGAAAGCATTTCAAGCAAAAGTGAAGTTTTCATGGCAATTAGCTGATAAAATTATCCTTCAAAATGCCAAACTTAGACTGTAGTTTAATCATTTCTTTAACAAATATTTACAAGGTGCCTGTATGTTTTCAGGTATTGTCCTCAGCACTAAAATATAATAGTGGAAAAAGAAAAGACAAGGTCCCTGCTCACATGGGAGCTTCCATTCCAGAAGTGTGAACCGAAAATTGTCTTCTCTTCACCTCCTTTCATTTTAACCATCCCTAGGCAACATTGATTCCCCCTCTGTTCCTTATAACGACTGAAGGTACTACTATCCACTAAGGCATGCAAGTTAGAAACTTGGGAATTATTTTGCACTTTTTCTACTTCTTCTCACATTATTTAATCTGCCGCCTATACTTTCTAACGTGTATTTCTTCCTTGTGTCTACTTTAAAATAGGCCTTCATTGTCTCTCAGAAAGACTTTTAAAAGAGACTGTTATTTTTGATTTGTTTCCCAATCTAGATTATATTTCCCCAGTACTTTAAGAAACTTGCTTCCAATTCTTGTCCCAAAATATGTTTGATTATTCCATTTCCTGGTTCAAAGTAATTCAGTGACTTTTTATCCTCTATAAATCTCCACATAATTTGAGCCAAATGCAGGGGCATGTGGGAGCTGTCTCATACAGCTTGTGGGAGTCCATGAAGAGCATCCCTTCCCGATTCTGTGTTCAGTGGCATATGTTAGCAGCTTGAAATTGGCCATGGTGAGAATATTTGTACTATATGTATTAGTCTGTTTTCATGCTGCTGATAAAGACATACCCCAGACTGGGAAGAAAAAGAGGTTTAATTGGACTTACAGTTTCACATGGCTGGGGAGGCCTCAGAATCATGGTGGGAGGCGAAAGGCACTTACATGGAGGCGGCAAGAGAAAATAGGGAAGATGCAAAAGCGGAAACCCCTGATAAAATCATCAGATCTCATGAGACTTACTCACTACATGAGAACAGTATGGGGAAACTGCCCCCACGATTCAAATTATCTCCCACCAGGTCCCTCCCACAACACTTGGGATTTATGGGAGAACAATTCAACATGGGTGGAGACACGGAGCCAAACCATATCACAACATAAGTTGACAAAACTTACAAATGAGGGCTTTCTGGGGAGCTGAGTGTTAATTTAGCAGCACACAGTTTGCACCAACTGTTTTCCCAGGTTTTCCTTTCACTCTACTCCTCCAATGAAACCTTCCTTTATTCATTTCATTGTGTTCCTGTTCTTGGCCTTGCTCAGTCTCTTCATTTTGTCAGAAATGTCCTCCGCTACCCCAGGTCCTTACCTGTCTATGAAAAGCCTGCTTATCCTTCGACCCTACTCAAATCCTCATCCTATGATTGTTATTAGACAGCCCTCCCCAACCACCAACCTGAAATATATCTCTCTTTCCATACTCCCAGAGCCTTTGTTCCTCTAATATTACAACAAGAACTGTTGTCTTGCTTGATGCTTTATTGTGTACATGGCTGCTACTTTTACAAGTGAGTGAATATTTTGCTTTGCTCCACAGTACCCAACAAAATGCTTTGTACATTGAAAATGATCAATAATAATAATTGGATTAAAATGGACTGAAAAAAGCATGACTCCTAATCTTTTCATCATGCAAATACTAAAAATTTCCTAAACAACAAGGGAGAAAAAGTCATACATCGGTTGAAAATAAAACTAGTAGGACTTTATTAAAACTCTGTACTGGTGATTTTCTTATTATGGATTCAAATAGGATATTTCTTCAATATCCAAGATGCAATATATTAAATATTTTCAGTGAAATTGCTAAAGAATTCTTGGCATCACAAAATATTTTTCATAAGTAATATTTTCAGGCTTATTAATATTCTTCTTCCATTTCAGTTATTGTTGACATCTGCATAATATTTAAGCAATTTAGACTGACCATTATTCATTTCTCTACTCATTATCTTTGTCAGTTACTCAATTAGCATGCTTATCTTTCATTGAAGTGACAGCTTCCAAAGTATAGAAAAATTCATTTATAAATGAGTTATCAATATATTGACCTTTGGATTCAACTGATTTACCCACTTGAGGGTATGGGCTATAAAATTTGTAATGGAAAATAATGTTAATTACATTTTCTCATTTTAATATTAAAAGATGCTCATTAACTAAAAAGCACAAGATGCCAATAAGTGAAAGGAAGCAACAATAGTGACCTACTATTTCATCTACCTAGAGATAAACACAATTGTTGTATATCTTTTCCTTTTATTTATTTCCCATTTGTTTTATATGTACTAATTAATTCAATCACTCATTCAATCATTTATTAATATTTATATGCCAAGAATATTTCTGAGCCTTGGAGACAGATGAGGGAACAAAACAGACAAAGCACCTGCACTAAATGGAACTTAAACTCTAGAGATGAATACACACAGAAAATAAATGATGCATATAGTTTAAAATATTACATAGATTATAATGGATATGAAGGATGCTTATGTAAATAAATAAATAGAAAGTAAAGAGGTGTTATATTAAAGTCGTGAAGAAAGGCCTGCCTGAGAAGGTGATGTCAAAGTAGAAGTCTGAATGAAGAAAGGTAAAATGCCATGTGGATGTCTCAGGGAAGGAAATTACAGGCAGAAAGAACATCATGCAAACTCAAAAAGGTAAAAATGAATTTGTTATGATTAAGGAGCAGCAAAAAGATCAAATGTGTTTCAAGTACGGTGAGTGAAGAAGTAAATAGTAAGAGATGAAATCTGGAGAAAACTTGGTCCCAGAATATGTCATTCCCTTGTATTAGTCAGGGTTCTCCAAATAGAATCAATAGGAAATAGAGATAGAAGTGGAGAGAGAGAGATTGAGAGAGAGGGAGAGAAAATTGATTATGAGGAATTGGCTCATGTGATTATAGAGGCTGAGACGTTTCATGCTCTGCCATCTGTAAGCTAGAGACCCCAGAATGTTGGTGGTATAATTCTGTCCAAATCTGAAGTCCTGAGAACAAGGAGGGGGCCAATAATATAACTCCCAGTATGAGGGCTGGAGAAGATGAGATATAATGTACCAGATCAAGCAGTGAGTCAGGGAAAAAAGGGAACAAATTACTCTTTTCTTCGCCTTTTATTCTATTCAGGTCCTCAATGGATTAGATGATACCCAACCACAATTGGGAGGAGGGCTATCTACTTTACTGAGTCCACTGATTCAAATGCTAATCTCAGTTACAAACATTCTCACAGGCACACTCAGAAACACTGTTTAATCTTCTCATCCTGTGGCCCACTCCAATTGTCACATAAAATTAACCATCACAGCCTTTATGCACATATACTCATAACCAAAACTATTGCCAAGGACGTTCCAAATTTCAGCTTGCTACATGAATCACAAGGACAGCTAGCCAGATGCACATGAACATTTGCCTGGCACAGTGTCTCCACTAACGAAGTGACTTCAACTCCTGTGATTAGCCCCTGTAACCAATGTTCTTTTATCACAATACAACTTACATGTACTCCTACTTTTGACTTTAAATCTTCTTCTTGCCTCAACCTATTTTGATATGCCTATGGTCCCCATAGCACATATTCCAGATTTTCAAATCCCCTGCACACTCTCAAGTAAACTCATTATCTTTGGAGACTCTCTCTCTCTCTTTGTTATTTAGTTTGACACATGTCAGGCATTTCCAATTCACTCACAGTGGGCCACCTTGTGGTTCATGTTTCAGCAAACCAATGAAACAAATTGAGCCTTTTCTAACTCCCTGAGCTGCAATGCTAAAGGCAGAATCTCTGATTAGTAAGCCCTTGTCAATAAACTTGGCCCAATCCAACTTTATGTTCCTTCCACATATCATCCAACATCTTTAATATCCACTCCCACATATGCTCTCTGGATTTTTGCCTGTATAAATTAGAAAACTCAAATAGTTATTTTGGAGTGTAGCACATCTCCTCATGAGTCACACTTTGTACCTCACTTTTAGGAACTGTTGGGACTTGGAAAAGAAAGAGGGATGATGGGGATGGGTTATGAGGATAATCACCACTGTCTTTCATGGCTACTGCCTCAGGAGAGGACATTAGAGTTTGCTCAGGCAATGGAGAGTTAATTCTCTTAAATGGAAGTGGAAAGGCTGCTCAGACCATGGGTGAGGATGCCGCCACGACTAGTAGTAGGGAGGTCACTTCCACTGGGGATGGGGAGATCGCTTCCAAAAACAAACAAAACTCATCAGAATTTAAGGGTTCAGTATGCCCAGCTTCATCAATATCTTCCAATATATTCGGATCCTAACTTATAGAATTCCATTCTTTCCCAATCAATTTCCTCACTGTAACTATAGATACCCTTACTGGCTGGAGGCTACACTTGGTTTTAATTCAGCCAGTCACTGAACAAGGTTCAGTGTTTGATTTTCAAGAATTTCAGCTCTGCAACTACAGGGGGTAAGGGTTTCTTTCAGGGTATCCAGAGAAGAGTTTAGGTCCTTTATGTGGGTCTTGAGCTGAGAATTAAAATACCTGAGCTCATTATTTTCTTTCACCACTTTTCTAGTGACATTAGGAGCAACCAACCAGTGGCATTATACTGGTTAGCTTTTCAAAAATGTTTGAAGGTATTATATACAAAGTCACATAGCTCCTTACTTCTTATAAGTAGTTTATTAGAAGTATCTAATATAAGTATTTTCCATGTCTCTGTAAACAGTTTGTACCATGGGCTATCAATGCTTTCTTCATTATTGAAAATAGAGTCATGAGCATCTTAAAATCTAGTCAGATTAGCAAGCTAATTCTAGAAAACCCAGAACCAATTCAGAAAACTCTTAAAATTATGCTCCTCTAGAAAAATTCTAGGTACCAAAATCTGTGTTCGTCATGGTTCTCCAGAGAAAGAGATTTGCGATGAATGGCACTTGCTGGAACCAGAATTTGAGTTGTCAGCGGAAGGTTGTGATTTGTGTCATAGATCTCAGTGACCTCACCTAGAAAGAGGGAGTAAATAGAAATAAGAAGTCCTGGGATGCACCTCGGAGCACTCTAACAATTAGAGGTTTAAAAAATAAAGGAGAAGGATAAAAAAAAAGAAAAAACAGACCAAGAAAGTGGCAATGAGTTATGAGAAAAATAGGAGAGTAGATTTGATGTCCTAGAAGCCAATGAAGAAAATATTTTAACAAGGAAGCAATCAACTCTATCAAAAGTATTTGATGGATCAAAGACTTAGATTGGAATTTAATTTGGCAATTGTATCAGTCATTGGTGAAATGACTTTTAGTGCTATTAGTGTAGATTTTGGCATGTAATATTTAAATTTGATGTGCATAGGTACAATAAGTGGATATATGAGAGAGATGCGATTTTGCTAATTATTTTTGTAGGGTTAAGCAAGTCTATATTGCATGCTCTATAAGTTAGAAAATACATTGCTGTATAAGTTTGAAAATATACGTGCTATATAAGTTTGAAAGTCTATACTGCATGTTCTATATGTTTGAAAACAGAGAAATTACTGAATTAATTCAACAAATATTTATTGGAATCTCCTTTGTGCCAAATACTCTTTTGAGTTCTGGAGATGGAGCAGAAAAACAAAAGTTTTAACTGCAAGGAGCTCATATTCTGATGGGGGGAGATAATCAACAAAATTAAGTGAATTATACACTATGTCAGATGATGTCTTAGTCTGTTCAGGCTGTTATACAAAAATTCCTTAAATTGGGTGACTTATAACCAACAAAAATGTATTTCTCACAGATCTAGGAACTGGGAAACCCATGATCAGAGAGCCAGGATGATTGCATTCTGGTGAAAGCCCTCTTCCAGGATGCAGACTGCCAAATCCTTGCTGTGTCTTCACATGGTGGAAAGAGTCAGGAAACTCTCTGGGTTCTCTTTCATAAGGGCACTAACTTAATTCATGAGGGCTCTGCCCTTGTGACCTAATCACCTCTCAAAGTCCCCACCTCCTAATACCACCACATTGGGGGTTAGGATTTCAACATATGAATTTTGGGGAGACAGGAGACACATGCATTCAGATCATACCGTATGCCGATATGTGTTATAGAGAAAAACGAAATTGAAAAGGGGCATAGTGTATGACAATGGTGGAGGAAGGGTTGCAATTTTAAATACAATGGTCAAAGAAGACTTCTCTAATAAGGTGAATTTTGAGATGAGGCATGGAGGTAATGAGGTATCTGGGGAAAATTTGCTGGCTGGAAGAGACAGAAAATGCTAAGGTCCTTAGGAGGGAACGATGGCATACATGTTCTACAGAATGTAAGAAGACCAGTGTGGCTACAGCATAGTGAGAAAGAGTTAGAGTAGCAGTAGATGAGGTCAGAGAGGAAAAGAGGGGCAGAGGCAGAATTTAGGTCAGGTCATGTAGAGCCTATTAGAAAACTGCAGGACTTCAGCAGCTCAGGTCTAATAACAATATTCTGTAAATGGGGACTTTCCAGAGAGCTATAAGACAGGACAAATACGGCCTTCCCTTACTATCCAGTATCGGGAGAGGAATTAGTTCGAGAACCCATGAGGATACCAAAATCAGTGAATGCTCAAGACAATTTTCAACATTGAATTGCAGAGTTTACATCATTTTAATTTTGTGTAGTAGCACAAAATAGATAATGAATAGCACATAGTAGGTTTAAATGCAAATCCATTGACCTACTATGTTGCTATTTATTTTCTATTTGTCCCATTTGCTCTTGGTTTCAGTTTTTCTCTTAACTTGCTTTCTCTTCAACAATTTTTTATGATTCTAATTTCTTTCCACTGTTAGCTCGCTAGCTGTCATTCATTAATTTTTGGTTGCTTTAGGCTTACAACATTACATTTTTAGTTCATTACTGTCTACCTTTAAATACTAGCATGTTATTTAAAGTATAGTTTAAAAAAACCTGAAAATAGTATATTTTTATTTTCTACCTTTCTGTTTTTGTTCTATTCTTTATGTTTCATTAAAATTCCCACAGTGCGTAATTATTGTTTTTGCTTTAAATGGTCAATTATCTTTGATACGGTTTTTAAAATGTGTAAAAAAGATATTTTATATGTCCCACACATTTAGCATTTTAGGGCTGTTTCTTTCTTTGTGTAGATACAATTTTAATTTTGTATCAATTCTTCTTTAGTCTGAAGACTTCCTTTAAAATTTCTTCTAATACTAGTGTGCTGGTAATGTATTCTGTCACTGGAAATATAAACACAATGAAAATGTCTTTATTTCGCTTTCACTTTTGATATTCTTGTTGGATAAAAAAAAAAATCTATGTTGGTAGTTTTGTTTTTCTTTCAGCACTGAAAAGATGTATCCCTACCATCTCTTGTCTTTATAATTTCTAGTAAAAGTCCATTGTCATTCTTATCTGTGTTCCCCTGTATGTCATGAGTCATGTAGTTCTGGCTGTTATTAAAAATTCTATTTATCACTGGTTTTAAGCAATGTTATTAAGTGTCTTGGTTTGAATCCTTAGGCTTATTTTCCTTGGAGTCTGTTAAATTTCATTTTTTTTTTTTTGAGATGGAGTCTCGCTCTGTTGCCCAGTCTGGAGTTCAGCGGCACCATCTCGGCTCCCCACAGCTTCCGCCTCCTGGGTTCAAGCAAGTCTCCTGCCTCAGCCTCCAGAGTATCTGGGACTACAGGCGTGCACCACTACACCCGGCTAATTTTTGTATTTTTAGTAGAGATGGAGTTCCACTATGTTGGCCAGGCTGGTCTTGAACTCCCGACCTCATGATCTGCCTGACTCAGCCTCCCAATGTGCTGGGATTACAGGCATAAGCCACCGCGCCCAGCCTAAATTTCTAAAATTTGTGAGTTTATATATTTCTTTAATTCAGAAAATTCCTAGCCATTATTGTAGCTTAATATTGTCCCATAGCTCACTCATGCTCTACTTATGTTCATGTTTCACTTTTTTTCTCTCTGTGCTTCAATTCAAATAATTTTTTCTATGTTTTAAAGTTTTCTGATTTTTTTCTGCAAAATCTAACTTGCTTGTAATAGCATCCAGTGTATTTTTCATTTCAGTTATTGCATTTTTTTCCTTCACAAGTTTCATCTAGCACTTTTTTATTCTTTCTCCTCATCATGCTAATATATTTGTCTAGCTTATTAAACACATGAAAAGTATGTATTCTATATAAGAATTTATAATTGCTTTAACATCCCTGGATGTTAGTTCAATCATCTCTATTATTTCTGGATTTCTCTGTTGATTGATATTTTTCTCGTTAATATGAGTAATGGGTCATATTTTCCTGCTTCTTTGCATACCAGGGAGATTTACCTTTTGGTTAGTAGAATTTATTGTATCTACAAAATAGTGTTGGATTTTGCTCTGGCTTCCAGATGAGTTACTTAGAATTAATTGAATTCTTTCAAGGCTTCATTCTATCTTTGTTAGATGTGGTTCATAGCAATCTTAGGTCTAAGCTAATCTAGCCTGACTACTAATATAATACCATTCTAAGGATTCAAACCTATGACATATGAATCTTTCTCCTCTGATTTGTGGAAGCAGGACCTATTTATACATCTGTGTGGATTTTAGTAATTGGTTTGCCTACTCCCTTTTGGTTGTTCTTTTCAATATTTCAGGTAATTTTCAGGCATGCGTGCATAGATAAGTACTCAGCCAAACATGTGAGGATTCCACTATGCATCTCTCCCAAGCTCTTTCACTCTCTTTGTGTACTTCCCTATTCTCCAGTAATCTGTGCTGCAAATTTCTAACCCTTTCAAGTTTTCTTACCAGGTTTCTATTTGCATCTCCTTAGTTCAGCAAGACCGCAGACCCTGAATGGGTTACTCCTGTCTCAGATGTAGCCTAGACACTGCTTACAGGAAATAAACTGATGAAATAATTAGTGCTTACGTTGTTGTCATCTTTCAGAGTTTGTATTTCTGTGTCATCTGTTTTCCAATGCCTGAAAACCTGATTAACATTTTTCTGGTTTCCTCTTGCCTGAGGCAGGAGGACTAATCTGATTCTTGTTACTCTATCTTGACTGACAATTATGTTTTGAAAAGTTCTCTCTGCTATTTTGTTGAGGATACATTGAAGGGAAGAAAGTATGTAGCAGTGAGACCAATTAAGAAGCTATTATGCAAAATTCTAGGCTAGATATGATGATGGCTTGGATCTGGGTGGCAGGAATTGAGGTTGAGAGAGCTAATTATATTTTGGATATACTTTGAAGACAGAAAAAACAGGATTTTCTTAGTGAGTGAAAGCTGTTTGAGAGAGAAATCAAGAATAACTAAAATAGATTTTTAACATTTATAAATTTATTTCATGGTTATTTATATATTTGTGTTTGCTCACTTTTAGTTTTGTAGAAATTGTCCATTTGATTGAAATGTTCAAGTTTACTATAATAGAGTTACATGTGCTTTTTACTTCTTCAGATCTCTAACTCTGTAATTATTACCAATTTTTCATTTCTGAAAAATTATATTTTTTCTCACACATAATCAGCTAGAATTGACAGGGCTGTAGTGATTTTAACTCAAGTCTATCTCACAGTGTAAAAAAAGTAATTAACTACAAGAGAATTAGAAGACAACATCATGATGCGAGAAACTGTCATAGTTATATCGTCAATAAAATTATGTCCTGTAATTATATAATTAATTCAAGAAACATTTTTGTGTTGACTCTGTATACAGAATTTTAGAAGAAAAACGGCATCAAAAACACAACCTTACATGTATACAACACTTTCTAGTTTATGCAATGAACATTCATATTATTTTCTTTGCATATCATAATTACATTACGACACAACATTTTCCTTGGTGTTTTACAAGGTATAAATTGGAGTTCAGAATGGAAAAGTTATTTGTCTAATATATCTATTGAATGATAAAGCCTGTATAGTATACACACACACAACACACACACACACACACACACACTAGATAGATAGTGTGTTTATATATATTCATATATATATATATAAATTTCTGTGGATACCTAACAGTACAAATTTTTGAGGTAAATGTTATGTTTTGATGCAAGCATACAATATGAAATGATCGAATCATAATAATTGGGATATTCATTTCCTGGGTAATGGAATATTAAATAGTAATTGGAATATCCTCATGCATTTATTATCTATTGTGTTAGAAACATTCCAATTCCACTTTCCTAAATTATTTTGAAATATACACCAAGTTATTTTTAACTATATTCACCCTAATGTGCTACCAAACATAAGATCTTATTTATTCTATCAAACTGTATTTTTGTGCCCATTAGCCAATTCCTTTTTATCCTTTCCTCTTATCTACCTTTCTCAGGTTCTGGTAACCATCACTGTACTCCCTATCTCCATGAGATCAACTATTTTAGTTCAAACATATAGGTGAGGACATGCGATATTTGTCTTTTTTGCCTGCTTTTTTTTTAACTTAATATAATGTCCTTCAGTTCCATCCATGTTGTTGCAATTGATAAGATTTTATTTTTTATGGTTGAATAATATTTATTTGTGTATATGCACTATATCTTTTTTTATTTTTTATTTTTTATTTTTTTAAATTTATTATTATTATACTTTAAGTTTTAGGCTACATGTGCACAATGTGCAGGTTAGTTACATGTGTATACATGTGCCATGCTGGTGTGCTGCACCCACTAACTCGTCATCTAGCATTAGGTATATCTCCCAATGCTATCCGTCCCCCCTCCCCCCACCCCACAACACTCCCCAGAGTGTGATGTTCCCCTTCCTGTGTCCATGTGTTGTCATTGTTCCATTCCCACCTATGAGTGAGAATATGTGGTGTTTGGTTTTTTGTTCTTGCGATAGTTTACTGAGAATGATGATTTTCAGTTTCATCCATGTCCCTACAAAGGACGTGAACTCATCAATTTTTATGGCTGCATAGTATTCCATGGTGTATATGTGCCACATTCTCTTAATCTAGTCTATCATTGTTGGACATTTGGGTTGGTTCCAAGTCTTTGCTATTGTGAATAATGCCGCAATAAACATACGTGTGCATGTGTCTTTATAGCAGCATGATTTATAGTCCTTTGGGTATATACCCAGTAATGGGACGGCTGGGTCAAATGGTATTTCTAGTTCTAGATCCCTGAGGAATCGCCACACTGACTTCCACAATGGTTGAACTAGTTTACAGTCCCAGCAACAGTGTAAAAGTGTTCCTATTTCTCCACATCCTCTCCAGCACCTGTTGTTTCCTGACTTTTTAATGATTGCCATTCTAACTGGTGTGAGATGGTATCTCATTGTGGTTTTGATTTGCATTTCTCTGATGGCCAGTGATGGTGAGCATTTTTTCATGTGTTTTTTGGCTGCATAAATGTCTTCTTTTGAGAAGTGTCTGTTCATGTCCTTCGCCCACTTTTTGATGGGGTTGTTTGTTTTTTTCTTGTAAATTTGTTTGAGTTCATTGTAGATTCTGGATATTAGCCCTTTGTCAGATGAGTAGGTTGCGAAAATTTTCTCCCATTTTGTAGGTTGCCTGTTCACTCTGATGGTAGTTTCTTTTGCTGTGCAGAAGCTCTTTAGTTTAATTAGATCCCATTTGTCAATTTTGGCTTTTGTTGCCATTGCTTTTGGTGTTTTAGACATGAAGTCCTTGCCCATGCCATATATGCACTATATCTTAAAAAATCCATTCATCTGTTGATGTACACTTAGGTGGATTCCATAACTTGGTTATTGTGAATAGCGCTGCAATAAACATGGAAGTACCCATATCTCCTTCATATACTGATTTCCTTTCTTTTGAATATATACTTAGCAGTGGGATTGCTGAATCATATGGTAGTTCTATTCTTAGTTTTTTGAGGAGCACCATACTCTTCTCCATACTGGCTTATGAATTTACATTCCCATGAACAGTGTATGAGAGTTCCCTATTCTTCATGTTCTTGCTAGCAACCATTATTGCCTGTTTTTTTTTTCTTTGACATTATTGTCTGCCTTTTAAACAGAAGTAAGATGACATATCACTTTACTTTTGATTTTCATTTATCTGATGTGATTAATGGTGTTCAACACTTTTTCTTACACCTCTTTGACATTTGTGTGTCTTATTTTAAGAAATGTCTATCCAGATATTTTGCCCATCTTTTAATTGGTGTGTGTGTGTATATATATATATATATATATTTTTTTTTTTTTTTTTTTGAAACAGAGTCTCACTCTGTCACCCAGGCTGGAGTGCAGTGGCATGATCTCAGCTCACTGCAACCTCTGCTCACTGGGTTCAACCTCCGCTTCCTGGGTTCAATGAACAGAGCTTCCTGGGTTCTCATGCCTCAGCCACCTGAGTAGCTGAGATTACAAGGGAGTGCCACCACTCCTGGCTAATTTTTGTATTTTTAGTGGAGATGGGGTTTCACCATGCTGGCCAGGCTGGTCTCGAACTCCTGGCCTCAAGTGATCTGCCAGCCTCAGCCTCCCACAGTCCTGGGATTACAGGCATGTGCCACAGCACTTGGCCTGGATTCTTATTTTATTTTTTATATTAAGTTGTTTGAGCTCTTTATATATTCTGGTCGATAATTCCTTGTGAGGTGGGTAGTTTGTGAAGATATTCTTCCATTCTGTGAATTGTCTTTTCACTTTTTAAATTATTTCCTTTTCTGTACAGAATATTTTTAGCTTGGTGTGATTTCATTTGTCAATATTTGCTTCCATTGCCTGTGCTTTTCAGGTCTTAGTCAAGAAATATTTGCCCAGACTAATGTCCTAGAGAATTTCCTCGATGTTTTCTTCTAGTAGTTTCATATTTTCAGGTCTTACATTTAAGTGCTCAAGTAATTTTGATTTTATTATTTTTATATATGGTGAGAGATAGAGACCTAGTATTTTTCCTCTGCATGTGGATATCCAGTTTTCCCAAAACCATTTATTGAAGAGACTGTTCTTTTTCTATTGTGTGTTGGAGAGGCTAAAGTAACTACATCTTGGAAACTATTTCACCATATTGACTTCTAATTAATCCAGGTTTGGAGAATGCCTTTGATGTTTCCACTTTATCTATTGTTCCTTTTGTAAGAGCATGTACTCACTATAAATCCTGCCCTTAGAGCAAATCAACCTGATAAACTCCTGCTTACTATAAACCCTGCCCTTAGGGCAAATTTCTACACTTTCTCTCTGAAGGATGTGTCACCCTCCCTCATGGTATATCATCCCTGGGTCTGAGAGGTGATGATGTGGAGATGTACCTGTCTTGCAACCACTCAAGACTACACTTCCGTCCATAAGTTTCTCAATAAAATCAAATTATAATGATAAACTGAACTTTTCTGCCTTGGTTTCTTGGCTCCTTCTGTGTTTGGGGATCATTTTATATATATGCAGCTTTCACAGAGTAAGTGTCAATCTCACCAGGAACCTGAGAACCAAAGTATGGACAAGTGGTAAGAAGCGTCCGAGGGAAAAATCCTGGGGTGGCCCTCCTCATCTATGTGGTGTGGTGTTGTCCATTTGCTATATTCCCGTGGACCACTGTGTGTATATGATGATGCCCTAAAAATGCCAGAGGGCCTAGAATGCTTGTGAGTGGAAAGCCACATGACCCACTGGAGTAAGGAAAGCTGCTAGGTGGTGGCGAAAGTGGGATGGTTGTGTTTTGTGCTGTACGAATGGCCATGGAAGCACAATTAGCAGAAGAATGAGGGTAGGAAAGATAGATAAAGAATTACAATTAAAAAAAGATATGTGAACCTCCATGTCTATGTTAGTGTCGAGTTTGGTGGACAAACTTGAAGCTCATAAAGCACAGCTGGAAACTGTAGCCTATTTGATTTGTGCCACTGGGAGGGAGGCAGGTGCACAGACAGAGGTGAGCTATCTTTGCTAAACCAGACTGGAATGCTAAGACTTAGAATTCCGTTGAAGCAACTATTTAGTGAGCTGAAGACATAGAGATAATCTCAGAGGAGAAGAAAGATAACTTTCTTCCCCTCTTGAGAGCAAGACCACTCATGCAGTGGAAAGCAAAGGCCCAACACATGCAACTGGGCAATAATGAACAGAGTTTCCAGGGAAACCTTAACTATCTGAGACTACACCTTGGCAGTACTGTTAGACATGGCAGAAACCTGTAAACAGCTGCTGAAAGAAAGCTCACTACATTAATGTTAATTAATGCATCACCATTAATGTACTACATTAATGGTGCATCTGTGGCACATTGGTGGAGAAGGCTTCTCCCTAACAGGGAGTTAAGCTGAAAAAAAATGAGCAATGTAGCTACTCATCCTGATTTAAGACAGGATTTGCACAATGCTAGAACTGTTGAGGGTAATCACGGTCTTATGTCAATCTCTGGAGAAAGTGCAGAGCAATTTAAGAGAGCTGGGCTTGCGCCAGACAATCTATTCAAAGTAATTTGCAGGACCGGATAAGGTAGTGTTTACTGTGGGATGAAATATAACTTGTTAAAAAGTGCTTACCCCCACACCCACCCGATTGACAGGGTCCCCTCATATCTCTCTTGAGCTTCCTTGTGGGATAAGATGTGTATGATGTGGGGGAAACTATAACTGATCTTGGAAAAATTGAAAATAGAAGGTCCAACTGGTTACCAGGGAAAAAGAAAAGAAATAAGATTCTAAGTTTGTTGGACTAAAAAAGGGACGTCTAAAAGGCCCAGTTAAGGTTATCAGAAAGCAAATATGGTATGATCTCATCTCAGCTTGGGTAGTCAAAGAAAATATAGTTTGGCAACCTAATGCCATTATTGGTGGACATTCGGAAAGACTTAACTCCTGCTCAGCAGCTTAGGACCATCTCCTGTGCCCTGTCAGAGGAGGAAGAAGAAGGAAAAGAAACCCCAGGTGAAAGAATTCCAGTCTCTGCATTCCAGGGGCAGACTCCTCCCAGCCTAGAGACTAGGGGTGTGGTCAAGTTTTCCTCCATGTGCAAGCCGTAGGGGCTGACCAGAGGCCCCATGTGGAGCTCACAAACCATTGGTACCCCCCCAAACAAGCAGAGAACCTTAGCTTTAGTACCATAATTTATGGAAGTACAGAAAACCACCCTGGCAAGTGGGCAGCTGTAGATGATTATGGGGGATGAACAATCTGAGGGAAGCAAACTTCTTTCCCCCTTAGTATTAGGCAGAGTTCAGTACTTCCTTAGTTACTATACTGTCTTTATTTCACCAATTCCAGAGAATATCTTAGGTATGGATGTCCTTTTAGGATGTCCTTTACAAACATCTGTGAGGAAATTTTACCTACAATTTGGGTAGTGAAAGATATTTAAAAAGGGGAAGCAAAAGGGAAATCTGTGTATTTCCTTCCCTCATGGCATGTTTCTAATGTGAAACACCACCGTCTTCCTGGTGAGATGGAAGAAATTACAGCCACTGTACAGGAGCTGGCCAAAGCTAATATGATTCCACCACTCCAGAGCCCATTTAGTACTTCCACATGACCAGTGGAGAAAGTTGATGGCACCTGGTACACAATGATAGACTACCAGGAATTAAATAAGCTGGCTCCCAAAATGTATGCTGCAGTGTCTATATAACTCAGCTGATAGGAAAACGAATACAAACTATAGGCACTTAACTTACTGCATTAGGTCTAGTCAATGCCTTCTTCAGTATCCCTTTACATCCTGACTCACAGGATCAATTTGCTTTTACTTGGAATGACCAGCAATGGACATTCCAATTGTTGCCTCAGGGAAATCTACATGGCCCCACTATTTGATATGGATTGATTCCTGGAGATTTAACTATATGTCCACCACCCACTATTGTAAAATAGTTTCATTACATTGGTGATGTTATGCTGACCTCCGAAGACTTGTCATTGCTATGACAACACCTTGACTTATTGTGTTCCTGTCTCCAATCCAGAGGATGAGCCATCAATCCATAAAAGATACAAGGCCTAGGACCAGCTGTAAAGTTCCTAGGGGTCACTTGGTCCTCAGATGGGTGCAGCTGAAGTAACCCTTGTATATACAAGGCAGTACCTGTACAACCACAGACAGATACCATATGGTTTGAAATGGTAGCACAGAAAAGCAGTCAATGGGCAGAACTCTGGGCTGTGGTTGGTTTGTACCCAGGAGTTATGGCTTATAGTCCTCTGTACAAACAGTTGGGCTGTATTTAAGAATCTTTCCACTTGGCTTGCCCAGTGGGACCGAGATGACTGGTATGTCCTCAATAAACCCTTATGAGGAGCTGCTATGTGGAAAGATATTTGAAAGGCTACAAGAACCCACCATGAGGCTAAATGTGTATTATGTTTCAGCACACTGGTCAGATTCACCTCTCAGTAACATGGAGGCAGATACTATAGCGAATATTAGAATGCTGGCTCTCTTGCAGTCATTTGAGCTAGCTAATTGGGTACATAAACATTGCAGTACACGTGTGGGCTGGCAGATATCCAAAGGAGCAGATATGCCTCTCCACTATGTAGATTTAGTGTCACAAGTAACAGACGGCTCCCCTGCCACATCCCACATACACCTGGACAAATTCATAAGATGTCCAGCCATGTGAGAGGCTAGCAGGTAGACTACATCAAACTCCTGCCAGTAAACTTGGGACAAAAGTGTGCACCAACACGTGTAGACATTGCCATGGGATTGTTACACACATTTCTTTGCAAAAATGACAAACCAAACAGCCACCATTAAATGCTTGGGGCAGCCCAGTGTCATGGATAAATACCCTCGTTGCATTAATAGCAACTGACGTGAGCATTTCACTGAACGTAAGGTACAAGATTGGGAACATGAAAGAGATATAGACTGGAGATTTTTCTTGCCATACAATCCCCAAGTGGAAGGGTTGATTGATAGGAAAAAATGGCATTTTCAAGGAACAACTTTGGGCACTTTCATAATTCAATACCTTGCCTTGGTGGGTAAAGGTTTTTCCTCAAGCTTTTAGGAAACTTAATTCAGTTGAGGTAAGTACAGGGCTGGCACCCTACCAAGGACTTGGGACGACTTTAAAGGAGTGCCCGTTAACCATGGTTGTAAAGAAATTTCAGGCCGGACATGGTAGCTTACCCCTGCAATTCCAACACTTTGGAAGGTGAAAGCAGGCAGATCGTTTGAGCCCAAGAGTTCAAGACCAGCCTGGGCAACATGGTGAAAACCCATCTCTACAAACAAAAAAATACAAAAATGCATGTCTGTATTCCCAGCTATCCGGGAGGCTGAAGCGGGAGAATTGCTTGAGCCCAGGAAGTTGAGGCTGCAGTAAGCCAAGATCACACTACTTCACTCCAGCCAGTGACAAGGGAGACCCTGTCTCAAAAAATAATAATAATAAAATAAAATACAACACAATCGATAAATAAATTGAAAAGGAAAAAAGAAAGTTTGACCAGATGCATCTCTACCAGAGCTGATAAAGGGTGAATAGCAAATGTTTTTTAGGACTCCCCAAGATCTTTAGCTGGAGTAGGGGACATTTGAATGGGGGTTGAATTGACATCTCCCCTTAGGGTGAATAAGATATTTCTTGCCAGGAAGCAAAAAGTATCTACTTGGCATAGGTGTTATTGCCTGCTATTGTCTGGATTATTGCTGCAGACTCTTCTTCAAGTAGAAAACAAACTGATGTCATCCACAACCTCTTCAAATAAAGGCCCAGGGACCATTGCAAAAAGAAGGCCATGTGAGATTGTAAGAGCCAGATTAGAGGGGTGGACTGTGGAGGATAAGGTAACTCCATCTTTGAAACTAATCTGCCATGTTAATTTCTAATTAACTCAGGTTACAGGAATGCCTATGGGATTTCCAATTTATCTCTTGTTCCTTGTGTAAGAATAGGTACTTAGCATAAATTCTGCCCTTAGATCAAATTGAACTTGATCAGCTCAGACTTACTGTAAACCCTGCCCTTTGGGCAAATTTCTACCCATTCCCCTGAAGTACGTGTGCCTGTCCCTAGGGTATATAGTTACTGGGTCTAGTGGGTGATGGTGTGGAGATCTACCTGTTTGAGGCAACCAAAGACCATATTTCTGTTCATAAGTTACCAAATAAAACCACCTTATGACAAGCTGGACTTATCTTTCTTTATTTTTTCTCAGCTCCTCTGCATTTGGGGGTCATTTTACATACACGGCCCTTCACAAAGCATACCTTCTTGGCACTTTTGTTGAAGACGAGTTGGCTGTAAATACATAGATTTATTTAAGGTTCTCCATTCTCTATTTCATCGGAATATGTGTCTGTTTTTATGCCAGTGCAATGCTGTATTGGTTACCAGATCTTTGTAGTATAATTTGAAGTCAGGTAACACATACAGTGCCTTCAGGTTTGTTCTTTTGCTGAAGATTGATTTGGTAATTCTGGGTCTTTTGTGATTCCATATACATTTTAGAATTATTTATATTTCTGTGAAGAATGTCATCTTTTCTTACTTTACACATTTTTCTTATTGTGGTTACCTAGTAGGTGTATATATTTACGGGGTATATAAGATATTTTGATACAAGCATATAATGAATAATAATTACATCAGAGAAAATTGGGTATTAATCACTTCACACATTTCTGCGTGTTACAAACAATCCAATTATACAATTTTACTTTATGAAATTAAATTATTATTGACCGCAGTAACCCTGTTGTACTATCAAATACTAGATCTTAATCATTCTATTTTTTTGTGCCCATTAAACATCTCTACTCCCCCACCGTCGCCATGATCCCCCACCCCCAATACCCTTCCCTGACTCTGGTAACCATCATTCTACCTTCTATCTCCATTAGTTCAATTGTGTTATGTTTTAGCTCCTAAAAATAACTGAGAACATGCAAAGTTTGTTGGTTTCTGGTTTATTTTACTAAACAATAACTTCCAGTTTCATCCATGTTGTTGCAAATGACAGAATCTCATTCTTCTTTATGACTGAATGGTACTCCATTCATCTGTTGATAGACACTTAGGGTGATTCCAAATCTTTGCTATTGTGAATAGTACTGCAATAAACATGGGAGTGCAGATATCTCTTCCATATACTGATTTCCTTTATTTTAAATATAGACCTAGCAGTGGGATTGCTGGATTATATGGTAGCTCTAGTTTAGATTTTTGAAAAACCTTCAAAGCTGTTCTCCACTGTGGTTGTATTAATTTACATTCTCACCAGCATTGTACAGAAGTTTCTTTTTCTCCATATCCTGACCAACATTTGTTGTCACCTGTCTTTCGATAAAAGCCATTTATACTGGGGTGAGAAGATACCATGCTGTACTTCTGATTTGCATTTCTCTGGTGATCAGTAATGTTCAGCACTTTTGTATACCTGTTTGCCATTTGTATGTCTTCTTTTAAGAAATGTCTACTCAGATTTTTGCCATTTTTAATTCAGATTATTAGATTTTTTCCCTTTGAGTTGTATGAGTTCCTTATATAGTCTAGTTATTAATCCCTTGTCACGTGGTTATTTTACAGATATTTTCTCCTGTGGATTGTCTCTTAACATTATTGATTGTTTCCTTTGCTGTGCAGAAGCTTTTTAACTTGATGTAATATTATTTGTCCATTTTTACTTTGGTTGCCTGTGCTTGTAGGGTATCACTCAGGAAATTTTTGTGTAGATCAATGTCCTGGAGAATTTCCCCAATGTTCTCTTTTAGTAGTTTCATAGTTTAAGGTGTTAGATTTAATTATTTAATCCATTTTGATTTGATTATTTTTCTTTCTTTTGCCCATTTTGTTTGATTTTTTTTTTTACATAGTGAGAGATAGGGATCCAGTTTCATTCTTCTGTATATCTATATCCAGTTTGCCTATCACCATTTATTGAAGTGACTGTCCTTTTCCCAATGTCTGTTCTTAAAACCTTTGTCAAAAATGAGTTCACTGTATATGTATAGATTTGTTTCTGGGTTTTTCACTCTGTTCCACTGGCCTGTGTGTTTCTTTTTATTCCAGTATCATGCTGTTTGGATTACTATTGCTCTATAGTATAACTTGAAGGTATGTAATGTGATTCCTCCAGTTTTGTTCTTATTGTTCAGAATAGCTTTGGCTACTCTGGGTCTTTTGTGGTTCAACGTAAATTTTAGCATGGCATTTTCTATTTCTGTGAAAAGCGTCATTGGTATTTTGATAAGGATTGCACTGAATTCATAGATTGCCTTGCGTAGTATGGACAACTTAACAATATTGATTCTTCCAATCCATAAACATGGAATATCTTTCCAGTTTTTTGTGTCCTCATAATTTCTTTCATCAATGTTTTATAGTTTTTATTGCAGAGACTTTTAATTTCTTTGGTTAAGTTTATCCCTAGATATTCAATGTTACTTGCAGCTATTGTAAATGAGATTACTTTTTTAATTCTTTTTCAAGTTTTTCACTATTGGCATGCTATTGATTTTGTATCTTCCAAATTTACTGAATTTGTTTATCAGTTCTAATACATTTCTGGTGGAATCTTTTGGTTTTTACAAATATAAGGTTATATTAATGGCAAACAAAAATAATTTCACTTATTCCATTTGAATGCAGATGTCCTTTATATCTGTCTCTATCTGATTTCTCTAACTAGGACTTCCTGTACTATGTTGAATAACAGTGGTGAAAGTGGGTATCCTTGTCATATTCCAGATCTAAGAGGAAAAGCTTTCAGTTTTTATTCATTCAGCATGATACTAGCTGTTGGTCTGCATAAATGACTTTTATTACGGTGATGTATGTTTTTCATATACCTATTTTTTAGGATTTTTGTTAAATTTTACCAAATCCTTTTTCAGCATCAATGAAAATGACTATACAATTTTTGTCCTTCATCCTGTTGAAATGATGTATCACGTGGTTTGATTAGCGTATAGAGAAATATTCTTGCATCCCTTCAATGAATCCAACTTAGTCATAATGAATAATTTTTTAAAGTGTTTCTGAATTTGATTTGTTAGTATTTTATTGAGGATTTTTGCATAAATGCCCATCAGGGTCATATGTTTTGTTTTGTTTTTGTCTGGTTTTGGTATCAGGGTAATAATAACCTCAGAGAATGAGTTTGAAAGCATGTTCTCCTCCTCTGTTTTTCAGAATAGTTAGAGTAGGATTGGTATTAGTTTTTCTTTAAATGTTTAGTAAAATTCAGCAGTGAAGCCATTTGATCCTGGACTTTTTTGGCTGGGAGACTTTTTTATTGTGGCTTTAATTTTGTTACTAGTTATTGGTCTGTTCAGGTTTTGGATTTCTTTATGTTTCAATCTTGGTGGGTTGGATGTGTCTAGGAATTTTTCAATTTCTGATAAGTTTTCCAATTTATTGGCATATAGTTGCTCAATGTAATCTCTAGTAATACTTTGATTTTCTGCAGTACTGGTTGTACTGTTTTTTTTTTTTTTTTATCTCTGACGGTACTTAAGTCTTCTGTCACTTTTTTTCATCAGTCTGTCTAAACATTTGTCAATTTTGTTTACATTTTCAAAAACCAATTTTTTGCTTTGTGGGTGTTTCATATTGTTTTCTTTGTTTCAAGTTTATTTATTTATGCTATGATCCTTAATATTACTTTTCTTCTGCTAACTTTGCATTGGGTTTGTTCTTGCTGTTCTATTTCTTTATGATGCATTGTACAGTTTTTTTAGTTTTTTTTTTCTTTTCTGATGTAGGCACTTACTGCTATAAACTTTCCTCTTAGTACTGCTTTTGCTGTATCACATAGGTTTTGATATATTGTATTTCCATTATTATTTGCATGAATTTTTTTCATCTTTGTCTTAATTTCTTCATTTACCCACTGGTCATTCAGGATTATACTGTTTAATTTCCACATGGTTGTATATTTTCAAATTTCCTCCTGTTATTGACTTACAGTTTTATTCATTTGTGGTCAGAGAAGATACTTGATATTATTTCATTTTTTTGAATGTTTTAAGATTTGTTTTATTGCCTAGCATATGGTTTATCCTTGAGATTAATTTATGTGCTGAGGAAAAAAGGTGTATTCTGTAACCATTGGATCATTGGATTAAATGTTCTGTAAATATTTATTAGGTCTATTTGTTCTATACTGAAGATTATGTCCAATGTTTCTTTGTTCATTTTCTGTCTGGAAGATTTGTCCAATGCTGAAAATGGGGCATTGAAGTCTCCAGCTATTATTATATTGGGGTCTATCTTTCTCTTCAGCTGTAAAAATATTTGCTTTATGGCCGTGCGCGGTGACTCACGCCTGTAATCCCAGCACTTTGGGAGGCCAAGGCAGGCGGATCACGAGGTCAGGAGATCGAGACCATCCTGGCTAACACGGTGAAACCCCGTCTCTACTAAAACTACAAAAAAATAACCAGGTGTGGTAGCGGGCACCTGTAGTCCCAGCTACTCGGGAGGCTGAGGCAGGAGAATGGCGTGAACCCGGGAGGCGGAGCTTGCAGTGAGCGGAGATTGCACCGCTGCACTCCAGCCCGGGTGACAGAGCGAGACTCCGTCTCAAAAAGAAAAAAAAAAAAATTTGCTTTATGTACCTGAGACGTCTATTATTGGGTGCACATATATTTACAATTGTTATAGCCTCCTACTGAATTGACTCCTTTACCATTATATGATGATCTCTGTTTCTTTTTACCAGTTGTTTTCTTGAAATCTATTTCATCTGATGTAGGTATATATACTGCTGCTCTTTTTTGGTTTCCATAGGCATAGAATATTTTCTTTCATTCCTTCATTTTCAGCCTGTGTATGTCTTTGTAAAGTGTGTTTTTTATAAGGAACAGAATATTGGGCCTTTTTTTTTTTAATCCATTCAGCCCCTGTAGTTCTTTTGATAGGAGAGGTTTTCCATTTACATTTAATACTATTATTGATAAGTAAGGAGTTACTTCTGCCAGTTCGTTATGTGTTTTCTGGTTGTTTTCAGATCCTATCTTCCTTCCTTCCTTCCTTCCTTCATTTTTATTTTTCTTCCTTCCTATCTAGCTCTTAGTAGAGATAATTCTCTTTGGTTGCATTTTTAATTTCTTGCTTTCTATGTTTTGTGTTACCATTTTATTTTTTTAATTTGAGGTTACTATGAGTCTTGCAAATAATATCTTATAACCCATTATTTTAAATTCATGGCAACTTAACACTGATTGCATAAACTAACGAACTATTAGAGAAAACTAATTTTAAAAAACCCTATACTTTAGTTTTGTTCCTCTATTTTTTAACTTTTTGTTATTTCTATTTATTTTATTGTACTGTATATGTTTAGAAATTTTGCAGTTATTGTTTTTGATGAATTCATGTTTTAGACCTTCTATTCCAGGTATGAGTAGTTTACATACCACAAATACGGTGTTAAAATGTTTTGTATTTTTATGTACTCACAATTACCAGTGAGTTTTGTACATTTAGATAATTTTTATTGCTCATTAACATCATTTTCTTTAAAATTGAAGAACCTCCTTTAGCATATCTTATAAGATAGATCTGGTGTTGATGAAATTCTTCAGCTTTTGTTTGTCTGGAAAAGTATTTATTTATCCTTTATGTTTGCAGGATATTTTTGCCAGATATACTATTCCAAGGTAAAAAGCTTTTCCTTCAACATTTTAAGTATGTCATGCCACTGTCTCCTGGACTGTAAAGTTTTCAGTAAAAAGTCTGCTGCCAGACATATTAGAGCACCAATGTATGTTATTTGTTTTATTTATTGTGCCACTTTTAGGATTCTTCCTCTATGTTTGCCCTTTAGGAATTCCATTTTTAAATGTCTTGAGGTAGTCTTCTTTGGGTTAAATGTGCTTGGTATTCTATAATCTTCTTTTACCTGAATATTAGTATCTTTCTCTAGTTTGGGGTAGTTTTCTGTTACTATCTCTTTGAATAAATTTTCTTTCTTTCTCTCTGTTTCTCTACTTCCTCTTTAAGGCCATCATCTCTTTAGATTTGCCCTTTTGAGGCAATTTTCTAGATCTTGTGGGTGTGCTTAATTCATTTGTATTTGTTTTCCTTTTTACCTCTGACTGTGTTTTTTCAAATGGCCTGTCTTCAGGCTCACTTAGTAATTCTTTCTTCTGTTTGATAAGTTCTGCTATTAAGAGACTCTGATGCATCCTATAGTATGTCAGTTACATTTTTTAACTCTAGAATTCTTGGTAATTTTTAAAAAATATTGCAGTGTTGTTTTTAAATTTATCTAATAGGATTCTGAATTCCTTCTCTGTGTTATCTTGAATTTCATTGAGTTTTCACAAAGCAGCTATTTTGAATTCTGTCTGAAAGTTCATATATTTCTGTCTCTCCAGGATCGGTCCATGGTGCTTTTTATTAGTTCATTTGGTGAGGTCACATTTTCCTGGATGGTATTGATGCTTGTGGATATTCCTTGATATCTGGGCACTGAAGAATTACGTATTCATTGTAGTCTTCATAGTCTGGGTTTATTTGTAGCTGTCCTTCTTGGGAATGCTTTCCAGGTATTTAAAAGGATTTGAGTGTTGTGATCTAAGCTGTTTCTGCTTTAGGGGCCACCTCAAGCCCAGTAACATTGCAGCACTTGCAAACTTGTAGAGATACCACTTGTTTGTACCCATTATTATTGTGAAGTTTTTCCAAATATTTGAAGAGTCTTGGGTATTGCAGTCTAAGTTTTTAGTTACTGCAGCTGAATCTGCACAAGTGGGCACCCCAAGTTTAGTAATGTTGTGGATCTTGAAGAGTTACAGAGGTACCACCTTGGTGGCCTTGGGATAAGATCCAGAAGAATTCTCTGGATCACCAATTTGAGACTTTTCTTTACTTCCTTTACTTTCTTCCAAACAAATCAAGTCCCTCTCTTTGTGCTGAGCAACGTGGAGCTTGGTTAGGGTTGACCCAAGCACCCCTGTTGCAACCTCCAGTGAAACTCTGCTGGGTTGGAGCTGAATCCAGCACAACACTGCATCTTGCCCAGGGCCTGGTGTAACTACTACCTGGCTACCGTCTATGTTTGCTCAAGGCCCTAGTGCTCCACAATCAGCCAGTAGTGAAGCCAGCCAGTCTTGTGTCCCTCGTTTCAGGGTGGCAAGTTCTCTGTGGCACTGAGCAGCTCTCAGATGCTATCTAGGAGCCGGGGCCTGGAATCATAAACCTTAGGAAACTATCATTTGGTCTATTCTACTGTGACCCACGAGACACCCAACCCACGTGACAAATTATTTTTCATTCTTTCCTCCCATTTCCAAAAGCAGAGTGGTCTCTCTCCATGGCCACTGAAACCAGGGGTCCACAGAGAGTACAGCCTGGCTACCAATCATGTTCACTCATGATAAAGGGCTCTTAAGTCCACTTGTTGTAAATGCTGCCAAGCCTGGGACTCACCTTTCAGGGAAGTGGCCTCCCCTCTGGCCCAGGAAAGGTCCAAACTTCCATCGGATAGTCTCAATGTTTGTCCCCACCCAAATCTCATGTTGAATTGTAATCCCCAGTATTGGAGGTGAGATCTGTTGGGAGGATTTTAGGTCATAGAAACAGATCCCTCATAAATGGCTTGTCACTATCCCCTTGGTGATAAGTGAGCTCTCACTCTGAGTTCACAGAAGATCTGGTTGTTTAAAAGTGTGTGGCATCTCCCCTCCTCTTGCTTCTGCATTCAACACGTGACATACCTGCTCACACGTTCACTTTCACTGTGATCTTAAGCTTCCCAAGACCTTCCTAGCAGCCAAGAAGATGCTAGCACCATGCTTTCTCTAAAGCCTGCAAACCATTAGTCAATTAAACTTTTTTTTTTCTGAATCACCCAGTCTCTTGTATTTATTTATAGATATTCAAGAATGGCCTAATAGAGAAAATTGGTCCAGAGGTGTGGGGCTTTGCTATAAAGATACCTTAAAACATGGAAGCAACTTTGGAACAGGATAATGAGCAGAGCTTGGAAGAGTTTGGAGGGCTCATAAGAGGACAGGAAAAAGAAGGAAAGATTGAAACTTTTTAGAGAATGTTTAAATGGCTGTAACCAAAATGCTGATAGTAATATTGACAGTGAAGTCAAGGCTGAGGAGGTGTCAGATGGAAATGAGGAACTTATTGGAAACCGAAGCAAAGTTCACACATGTTATGCCTTAGCAATGAAATTGCCTTCGTTCGTTTTATGCCCTAGGGATCTGCTGAAGCTTGAGATTGAGAGTGATCCCCTAGGGTATCTGATAGAATGTATTTCTAAGCAGCATTTAAGATGTGTCTTGGCTGCTTCTAACAACCTATGCCCAGATGTGGGAGCAAAGAAATGACCTAAAGTTGCAGTGTATATGTGTAAAAGGAAAGTAGTGAGTAAAAGCTGGGAAAATTTGTAGGTTTGCCATGTGACACACAAAGAAAAAAAAAAAGCTTTTTCGGAAAAGGAATTCGAGCAGGATGCAGAGTAACCACTTGCTAGAGACATTTCCATAACTAAAAGGGGCCAAAACACTAATAGAAAAGACAATAGGAAAAAGGCCTCAAGAGAATTTCAGAGACCTTCGTGGCAGCCCCTCCCAAAACAGGCCCAGAGGCCTGGAAGGAAAGAATAATTTCAGGGCCAGGCCTAGGGCCCTGCTGCCCTGTGCAGCTTTGGGATGCTGCTCCCTGCATCCCAACTGCTGTGGCTCCAGCCTCATCTCAAAGGTCCCCAGATACAGCTCAAACTACTGCTTCACAGGGTTTGAACCATAAGCCTTGGAGGCTTCCATGTGGTGTTAGGCCTGCAGGTGCACAGAATGCAAAAATGAAGGAGGCTTTGGAGGCTCTGCCTAGATTTCAGAGAATGTATGGAAACATCTGAGTGTCCAGACAGAAACCAGCTGCAAGGGTGGAGCCCTCACAGAGAACCTCTACTAGATCAGTGTAAAGGGGAAATGCAGGGTTGGAGACCCCACACATAGTCCTCACTTGGGCACTGCCTAGCAGAGCTATGAGAAGGGGTCCATTATTCCCCAGACCGAAGAATGATAGATCCACCAGTAGCTTGCACCCTGCTCCTGGAAAAGCCACAGGTATTCAACTCCAGCCTGTGAGAGCAGTCTTAGGGGCTAAACCCTGCAAAGCCACAGGGGTGAAGTTGACAAAGGACTTGAGAACCCACCCCTTGCTCCTGTGTGCCTGTATGTGTAACATGGATTCATATATTACTTTGAAGCTTTAAGATTTAATGACTGTTGTGCTGTGTGTCAGACTTGGATGGAGGCTGTAGCCTCTTTTGGCTAGTTTCTCCCTTTGGGAATGGCAATATTTACAAAATACCTATACTCCTATTGTATCATGAAAGTACATAACTTTTTAAAAAATTTGTAGGCTTATATGTGGAAGAGATTTGCCTTGTCTCAGATGAGACTTTGAACTTTTGAGTTAATGCTGCCATGAGTTAAATCTCTGGGGAACTGTTGGGAAGACATGATTGTATTTTTCAAAGTGAGAAGAACATGAGGGTTGGGAGAAGCCAGGGATGGAATGATATAGTTTGCATATTTGTCCCTGCCCATATCTCATGTTAAATTGTAATTCCCAATATTGGAGGTGGGGCCTGGTGGAAGGTATTTGGATCATTGGGGCGGATTCCTCATGAATGACTTGACACCATCTTTTTGGTGATGAGTAATCTCTCTCTCTTACTTCACACAGAATCTTGTTGTTTAAAAATGTGTGGCACCTCCCCTGCTATTGCTCCTGCTTTAGTTATGTTATGTGTTTGCTCCCCCTTCATTTTCTGCCATGATTATTAGCTTCCTGAAACCTCCACAGAAGCCCAGCAGATGCCAGGACCATGCTTTGTGTAAATCCTACAGAACTGTGAGCCAATTCAACCTCTTTTTAAATAAATTACCCAGTCTCACGTGTTTCTTTATAGCAATGAAAGAGTGGCATAATACACCATTCAAGAGCCAAGGCCTGGAATTGAAGACCCTAAGAACCTGCTTGGTGTTCTACTCCATTATGGTGGACCTGGTACTAAAGGTGCAGGACAGTCACTTTTACTATTTCTTCTGCTTTTCTCAAGCAGAATAAGTCTCTTCCTGTAGCTATCACAGCTGAAAATGTGATGAGTACCCTTGAAGCCCACACATCTCAGAGTCTTACCTAATACCCACAGCATATACTACCTGGCTGTTGGTGCTGATTACTCAGGATCTAACTGCTCTTTAATCAGCAGGTGATAAATCCTGCCAGGACTGAGTCCTATTTGTCAAGGAAGAAGGTCCCCTTCTTGCTCAGGGTATGTCTAGAAATATCCTCTGGGAGGTAGATCATGGAAGGGGGGGCCTCATGATTCTGCCCAGTGCCCTATCCTAGTTGCGAAGCTGGTATTTGGATCATTGGAACAGATCTTTCTGATGCACTTTTTAGTTTGCCAATTGAATTTTTCAGCTCCAGACTACCTGTTTGATGTATTTTATTATCTCAATTTTTAAAAAAATTACCTGTTGGAATTATGAATTCTCCTTCTGTGTTATTTTGGTTTGTTGAGCTTATCAAAACAGCTATTTTGAATTCCCCATCTTCAGTCAAATACTTATGTCATTCCAGGATTTGTCACTGGTGCCTTATTTAGTCTGTTTGGTGAGGTCATGTTTTCTTGGGTGTTCTTGATGCTTCTAGATCTTTGTTTATGTCTGTGTTTTAACAAGTTAGTTATTTATTCTCAGAGTTTGGGCTGGTTTGTACCCATCTTTCTTGAGAGCACTTTCCTAGAATTTAAAGGAAATTGAGTATCATGACCTAAGCCTATGGTTACTGCAGCCATTTTAGCACTAGGGGGTGACGTAAGCCCCGTAACTCTGCAACACTTGCAGACTCCTAGATACACAGCCTTGGTGGACTTGAAGAAAACAAGGAAGACTTCTCTGGGTTTTCAGGTGATGTCTCTCACTCTCTTTCTCCCATGCAAAAGGAGTCTCTTTCTGTGATGAGCTGCCTGGAGTTTGGGAAAAGGAGATGTGGGCACTTTTGTGGCCCTGAAACGTGGCATCTTAATGGGTCCCACCAGAAGTCCTTAGCTTCCTAGGCCAGCACAGTAGTGGGGCTCACCCAGGCCCTGTGGTCTCTACTCTCTGGCTGTCCCCGATGTTTATGCAAGGGCCAAGGCCTCTTTAGTCAGCAGGTCATGAATACTGCTGGCACTGGGTCTGTTCCACCAAGGCAGCAAATCACCTTCTGACCCAGGGTAAGTTCAAAAACACCATCCAGGAGCAAAGGCCTAGACTTACGGGCAACAAGAATCTGCCTGGTGCTTTATTTTACTGTGGCTGAACTTGTACCCAAATTACAAGACAAAGTCCTCTGTAATCGTCTCTCTCTTTTCCCCAGGTGGAAAGAGTCTCTTCCTGATTGCACTGCCTGGAGTTAGGGGGGAAATGATGTAGGCAATGCTGTAGCTACCACAGTTGGTGTTGTATTGGGCCACACACCAAGCCCATTGACTCTAAGACCAGTGCAGCCCCAAGGCTTGCCCAGGGACTGCAACCTTGTGGCCTGACTGCCACTCAAATTTATTCAAAGCCTCAGGCCACTTCAGTTAGCTGGTGGTGAAGACTTCTGGGACTGGGGTTTCTCCTTTTGGGGCAAAGGATTCCTCTTCGGCCCTGGTCTGGTATAAATGCTCTCTCTGTGGGTGCCCGCAGAATTCTGCCGTGTTGTGTTCCAGTGTGACATAGTAACACTGAGTTCCAATGTAAATTTCCACACTCACTTTGCTCTCCCTCCCCCAAGCATACAAATTCTTTCTTCAGACTGAACTTTCTAGGGTTGCAGGATGGATGATGTAGGCAATTCAAGACTATCCTTCCTACCATCTTCAATGTCTTTTTAAAATTATGATGTTAAAACAAAGTACTGTGATTGTTCACCTGATTTTTTGGTTCTTATGGCGGTGCTTTCTTGCTGAATAGTTGTTCAATTTGGTGTTCCTGTGGGGTCATGTTTACTGGAGGGCTCTATCAAACCATGTTGTTCTACCTCTCCTCTCAAGCCTATATCTATTTTCCCCTATAACGTTCTGTGTTCTGTATAAGGGAGTATGTGTATGCTTATATTTATGACTGTGTGTGTGTGTGTGCACTTGTAGATGTTTGTAGTACTGATAGTTTTCCTGTGTTTTTGCCAATAAAATACGGATTTTTATTATGGTTTATAGAACACCAATAAGGGTGAAAATAAAAGGTATTTGATACTGTATAAAATAATTTTCTTCTAAAATGTCAGCACTGTTTTTATTTGTTTTAAAAAGCTTACCTATTATAAAAAGCATTTTCAAATGATAAATTTCTAATTAGGTATAGTGAAGCTATTTGATGTGGGTGGAATAATTTGAAATAATGATTTGTCTCATTGTCTATTGTATAATTCTGTTTTATATGTGTGAATATCTCTGTGGAACTTAATGGGGATATTTGTGAGTGACATGAAAATAACACAAATTATTTTGAAGCATATTAGAATAAAAGATAATTCTGATGACAGACAATATATAAAAAAAGAAAGGGAGAGAAGGAAAGACCTGTTTGAATTTTATCAGGTCCCTATATACATTTCTTCTTACCAAGTATTGGAAAAGAAAGATTTTCGTGCCTGATTGAGTCTAATAAATCCACAGACATCCTGATGAGTCAAAATTCAAAATATTATTTTGGAAAAACTATCTTTAAAAATAACAGCATTGTTGTGTCATGAGGCACAGTGTGTTTTCCATGCTTATATTTGAGTTATTACAATTCAGGATTTTTACATATGACTAATTTAGTAGCAAGTTTATTTTATGAGAAATATGTTATATTCTAGACAGATACTTTTTCGTATTCAGCCATCTTATAAAAATTTTTATGCTATCATAAGTTATCAAACAATAAAATCATTTTATTGCATTTGAGAACAGGCACATAACATACTGGAATTTGTGAGTCAGAGAATATGATTTGTAGAGAACAAAATATGTTACAAAAATTCTCATGTATTCTGTTTGCCAATCTAAGGCTATTTCCAAAAGTAAGACTCAAGGCCTTCATTTCATATTGTGCTACGTAACATCTGGATTATGTTTAATTACATGAGGAGAGCAAAGTGATCTAAAATTCTTTATATTCTATACAGAGACATATGTTAGGTCCTTTTAATTCAAAATTTGTATCTGCTTTGTTTATAACATTCCAGGATAATAAACAAGTCCCGCTCACTTACACATTCAGTGGCTGGAGGCTAATATGTCATGTGAACCTGCCAGGAGATGTTGATATACCTGGTGATGGCCATCTTGCCACATTAACTATTTTAATTGAGGTTACTCCTTTGCATTAGATCAATGATAGGGAATAGTCTGCCTCACTAGCACCATTTCACAGCTGGAATGATGATGCTGAGTGATAGTTCTCAGAAACATTTGGTTAGGCTAATTTCTATTATAAACAGATTCCTGGAAACACACACAGACACACACACACACACACACACACACACACACACACACACACACACTCTCTGTCTCTCTCTCTCTCTCTTCTTTTTAAATTCGCATTTGTTTAGTCCTGCCTGTACTCTTTGCCAATAATTCTACCAGCTGGCCTGTGGGAGATGTTTGCAAAAATGTTTGAATCTCCCTTCTTTCTCCTCTAAACCTTTGTTTCACCACAATAATGAACGGGACAAATGTTCACATTTTCCAAAGGTTTATCATTTGCAAGAAAAACACAAAAGCTCAAGTAAAATGAGTGTTCACTTGCTGGGAGACAGCCAAGTACAAACAGATGTTTAGCTTTTGTGGATTAACTTTTTGGTTTCTGAGTTTGACTGTAGAAGGACACTTTGTGCTTTTAGAGATGGATTGATCCCTAGTATCGGCATTCTACCTCATAAAAGGCATAATTTCCCAGCCATATCCTGACCTATAATTTACCAGCCATATCTTGGCCCATCCAAATGGTAGTGAACTTCCTGTCGTTTCAGTGTCTAAAAGCAAAATTGTGTATCCTCCCAGGTGATTATAGTGAAATCAGCCTTTGACAGAAGGCCTGGATCCTGCTTCTTTGCAACTAATCCCTCCTGTGAGCCTAGGGAATTATATCCTCTCCCTAGGTATTAATTTCCTGTGTTATTAGAATACCATTTAAGATAATGTAAGTCCAAATTCTCCGAATGTATGTTAATTCTCATGGGGAAAATATTGACAGTCGAAAGTTCATTGGAAATAAACTCTTAATAGATGAAATCACCTTTATTCTTGTTATCAATCCGGACAACTTAATTTATACACCTTGCAGAGATTTTTCAAAAGAGTCCCCCATCCAAAAAAAAAAGTCAGTGGGAAAAAGAGGCAGCTAGATACTGTGAGCAGGCTCTGGAACCAGACGGCTTGTGTGAAGATCTATTTCTTCTTACCAGCTGTGTGACCTTGGGAAAATCACTTAAATTGTTCAGAAACTTGAGAAGCCTCAGTTTATTCATCTGTAAAATGGATATAGTGATAGTACCTACCACAAAGAATTGTTGTGAGGTTTAAATGAGTTAATACATAGGACAAAGTGTAAGTCCTTAGAAAAGATAACTATAATTTCTCCATAACGTTATTTGACAAATCAAGAAATTAGAAAGCATACAGAGATTTATGAGATAAAGGCAGGCTCCAAGATAAAGAAATCAATCATGTCATATATACTCTTATTGAACTTTAGCATCTTTGAATTATGATCTAATACTACCACCACTATTTTCTCACAGTATACAATGCAGGAAACATTTCTTCTGGGCCTACTATGTGTCAGGCTCTGATTCACATGATGACATGTGCTCTCTGTAAGAGGGGAAATTGAAAATACTGATATTGTACGATGGACTCAAATAGTTTTCTATGGTGCCCACAGTAGTTCACATGCAGCCCAGTTGTATTTATTAAAATGTTAACTATAAACTCATCTTCATTTAACATCAAATACAACAATATTATTGAATACATTTAATTAACAAGGAAATTGGGAAAGCTGAATGATATGGTTTGAATCTGTGTCCCCTCCCAAATCTCATGTTGAATTGTAATCCCCAGTGTTGGAGGTAGGGCCTGGTGGGAGGTGACTGGATCCTGGGGGTTGATCCTTTGTGAATGGTTTAGCACCATCACCTCGGTGGTGTATTCATGAGAGTAAGGGAGTTCTCACGAGAGCTGGTTATATTAAAGTGTGTAGCCTCTCCCCCCACCTCGCTCTCTCTTGCTCCTGCTCTGGTCATGTAAGACATGCCTGCTTCCCCTTCTGCCATGATTATAAGTTCCCTGAGGCCTCCCTCAAAACAGAGGCCACTATGCTTCCGGTAAAGTCTGTAGAACCATGAGCCAATTAAATGTCTTTTTCTTATACATTATCCAGTCTCATGTATTTTGTTATAGCAGTGCAAGAATGGAAAAATATACCTAATTCTTAATTTTATAATTAAAATATAGTTTATAATTTATATTCTAATAATTAGTAAATGTTTGAGGTACTAAATATTAATCAGTATAGCCTTTTTTATATTACAGAACTAATCAGCTGGTCATGAAAGGAGATACACATATATTTTTCCCATATACCAGTAATAGCCATTTTAAAGTATATTTTAAAAATTCCGTTGGTAACAGTGACCTAAACTCTAAACTTTCATAAATCATAAATAAGCTTGACAATGAGTATGTGAGATCTTAAAAGAAAATGCTATAAATCTTTGTTGAATTTATCAAGAAAGCATGAATAAATGATGAAGCATATTATGATGTTGGACTGGGGATCCCAGTATTTTAAAACTGTTGTTTCTCTCCAAAGTAATTTATAAATTTATTGAAATTTTAATGAAAATAATAACATAGTTCGAAACTTCACAGTTGAATCCAAAAGATCATATAGAAAAACAAATGAGTGAGAACTGTCAAAATATTTTTATTTTATGAGGGGAATTGACCTGTAAGATGAGAAAACATACTAAGAAAGTAATTTAAGCTGAGTAGTACTGCTACACAAACTAACAAGTAGATCAAGGGAATAATTCAGAAACAGATTTTTGTGTTTGTGAAAATTTATTATAACCTATTTTAAATCAGTAAAAAAAGGTGGTTTATTATTCTTTTGATAATTAGACATAATTGTGTTGGGAGAATTGGATAGCTATATATAAGAAAGTTTCATTTTGTATTTTATGACATACCTTCTAAAATATTCTGGTAAAATTAAATATTTTAGTTAAATACATATATATACACACACATATATTCAAAATTATATTATCTTTGTAAAGAAAATACTTTTCTAAGAAAACAAAATCTATAATAAACAGATGAACAGATATGCTAATTAATTAAAAATATTGTACATCAAAATACACAATGGGGAAGGTTAAATATTGTAGTCACTGCAAACATGAAGTATATATAACAGAGAAATGATAAATATCACAATATACAGGGAATTTATATTGATAAGCAAGAAAAGAATGAGTAGCTCAAAAGCAAATGAGCAAAGGATAATAGAATAGAAACATACACACACACACACACACACAGACACAGTCAATAAACTTTTTAAAAGACATTCTACTTCAATAATAATCAAATAATGAAAAGTAACATAGCTACAAAAAGAGAAATAATGTAACCATGAGATTATTGTTTTTCACGTATTGTTTCAGCAAATAATGAGGAAAAATGATTTCTTCCAGCTCTAAGTTTTCAAGATACTGCAGAATTAAGTATTCTTATTAACTCTTTTAGTGAGAATATAAATTAATACAGTTTGGGAGGGGTTAATTTGACAATACTTTTTAAAACTAAAATTCCCCTATTCTTTTAGTCAGTATTTCTACTTGTATGCATCTATCTTATAAAACTACTGTGTACAGAGGGTAATAGACAAGGGTGGTTTATTCTTCTTTTAATAATTAAAAATAATAGGAAATAATGTTATGTTCAACAGTAAGAAACTGACTAAAGGAATTGTGGCATATCCATACAAAGGCAAACCATACAGTCATTAACAAGAATGAGGTAAAGACATATATACCGTCATAAAAACCTGATCACAGTACATATTTAAAAATAAATTACAAAACAGTATGCATAGTATAATCCCTTTGAAATATGCTATTAATAATATATGTTTGAATATGTATAAAAAGAAAAATGGAGAAATATGAACCATTAATCCTATTAGCGATTGTCTTTCTGGGGTTGTAAGGATGTCACTCCCACATTATGTATTTTTATAATGTTTGAATTTTTATCACAAACATATAAATTTAAGAACAAAAATAACTAGGGTGAAAAATAAAAATGCCTTCCATGACCATTATTCCTGCCTCAGCAGGGCACATATCTCCTCAAGATAGTTCAGAAGGTTAAATAATAAGAATTCCAGATCCCTTAGAATGTCATTGATGGAATTGAAGAGGCCTTTGCTCACTGCTGGCTCTCTTCCCATAAGTCACCATTCAATTTTCACACGTAGGTAGGATGGTAACATTGTTGACTAAAGTAAGGTGTGAGAGAGTAGCTTCTGTCCTGTATAAAGTACCCAGCAAGAGGATAAATACTGATTTTCTTTATCCCACGGGTAACTGGTGACTCAGAATGGGTCTTACTGGCAGTTTCTACTGTGGTTCAGACAGTTTTCCATGGACAAAACTTCTTACAGGAAAGAAGCATTTACTATTCGGAGTCACACTATGAATGAGGTGGACCCCTCACCTCTCCTGCTTCTCCAGTCTCTTGAAGTCAGGTCAGGAGTGGCCAGAGGATGTAGACTTCAGAAGCCTGACAGCTCTAATTTGACAAATCAGAGGACTCTGTGTGGATAAGAGATGTGAGAATGGACATGTCACCTCAGGCCACCAGGTCTGTCTTTTCTAACCCTATAATCTGAGTGTTCAGAGGCTTAGGAGCTGATTCAAATCAGTGTGCCTGTCAGTGTACCTCAGTGGAATGGGCCTGAACTCTTGGGCACAGAGAACTCCATATCAGAAAGCTCATCGTTTAGCATAGTCTCATGGCAAAAGCCCACGTGCCCACCCCTGGAAGCCCCCCCGGAGTCACCATGCTAGGGGCTGCCGTGATGGGGCCAGATCGAGTTACCCACCACCAGGGTAGCAATGTAATTGGGCGTGGAGGGGTGGGCGGAGTAGTCCCAAGGCAGATCTGGGCCCAGAGTGGTGCCATGCTCCACAGAGCTGGCTGGAGCCAGGAGCAGGTAGGATCTTCACCCTCCTGGGCACAGCTGCAGCCGCATCTCACTCCAGACAGTGGAGGAGAGACTTGGCTCGGAAGTAGTTGACTGGCCTCTGTGAAGGTTGTAGGGTGGAGAATGTGGTATTAAGGTATGTGTTAAAACTGAAAAGCTAGAACATTAGGAGAGAAAATGTGCATGGAAGGATCACCCTGAGAGAAACAGGGGAGAGTACTTACAGTGTGATGGAGTGTCCTGGGGCCTCAGATGAATCCGAGTTCCCAATGAACAGAGTGTTCAATGGAAAGGAAGGTGATGAAGGCACTATGTCACAGTGAGAAGAAAGAAAGGGAGGACCATGGCCTGCTCTGTGGGAGACTGTTGCTTTTATTAGTCTTCAAATGCCCTCACAATGACCACCTCCCATTGGTCTTCAGGTTGTTTCACAAAGACCTTGTGCTAATGCAGTGGTTTCAACCAGGAACAATTTTGCCTCTATCTCTACAGGATATTATTTGGTGATGTTTGCACACAAATTTCGTTGTCAATACTTGGGAGATGCTACTGGAAATTAGTGAGTAGAGGCCAGGAATGCTGCTAAACACCATGCAGTGCACAAGATATCCCCCACAACAAATAATTATCTAGCCCCAAATTTCAACTGGATTGAGGTTGAGAAATCCTGCACTAAACATTTCCTTTGACTCAGTTGAAATACTCAAGAAATTCTTCTATGGAATGCTAGAGTTCACCATGGTATGTTATGGGCCCTGTTTATAACAGACTAAGATTATCTACTCAAATCTTGGGTGTTAAGGGGAATTATAGGCCCTTCTGTTATAAACAGAGAAATCTTGACAAGGGGATTTTTATCTCTTTCCTCTAGAGTCACAGGACAGCGAAAGATTTTGGAAATAATGATGTGAAAAATAATTCTATTTTTTCAGTAAGATTCAGAAGCTTATATTTTCTTGGAGGGATTATACAAAGATGTGACTTCCCATTAATTTCTTTATTGGTCCAGAATTAAGAGATTACTTAGGCTCCAGAATAAGAATCTTATTTTATGCATTTAATCCCAGGATGTGACTGATCTGCTCTGTTTTCTATTGTTGCATAACAAAGTACAACAAATTCAGTGGCTTCAAACAATCTCCATTTATTATCTCACGGTTTTCATGGGTCAGAAATACAGGAAAAGCATAGCTCAGTCCTCTGCTCAGGGTTTCCAAGGATGAAATCAGGATGTTGGCCAAATTGTTTCTCATCTTAGCCTTAGAGTGATCTTTTAACTTAAAAATGAGGCTGGGCGAGGTGGCTCATGTATACAATCCCAGCACTTTGGGAGGCCAAGGTGGCTGGATCACCTGAGGTCAGGAGTTCACGACTAGCCTGGTCAACATGGTGAAGCTCTGTCTCTACTAAAAATACAAAAAATAGCTGCATGGTGGCATGTGCCTATAATTCCAGCTGCTTGGGAGGCTGAGGCGGGAGAATCACTTGAACCCAGGAGGCAGAGGTTGCAGTGAGCCAAGATTGCACCACTGCACTCCAGCTGGCCTGGGCAAAGAGTGAGACTCCATCTCAAAATAAATAAATAAATAAATAAATACTTTTAAAAAATGGTCAGTTACAGAATCAGGTTCCTTGTGGTCGTAGAACTGAGATATCCCTTTTCATCTTGGCTGCCATTCCGGAGCTACTCTCAGCTCCTGAAGCATCTACGGTTCCCCGCTACATGGCTCTCTCACAGGCCTACTCACATTATGGTGTTTGCTTCTTCAAAGCTAGCAGGAGAATTTCTCACTATGATGGCAGTGGCAGGCTGTCCAAGGTGGTCACTGACATCATGCCAGCTGTAGCAGGGAGGCACAGATGGTGGCAGCAGGAATGGCTGTAGGAGCAGAAGTGGTGGTGGTGGGTCCCCTGTGCCCCGCATCCCTGAGGCAGCCGACTGTGCCACCCCCACCCTCATATGGCCCCAGAGCCTCTGCCGTGGTATCAGCCTCGCTCCCCACCCTGTCTTGGGAGCCTGCAAGCACCTTGCTGAAGACACATCCAGGACTGGTGGGGCCATCCCTGAAAGCATCGAGTTTGTTTCTGCAGAGTTGGCTGGGGCCAGTGCCACCTGAACCTTGCCTGCTGCCGTTGCAGGGAAAATGCAGAGAGAAGGTGGGAAATCCCCGGATCCCACCCCTGGGAGCCCCCCTGGAGTCTACCATGCTAGGAGCTGCCGTGATGGGGCCAGATCGAGTTACCCACCAGCAGGGTAGCAATGTGGTTGGGCATGGAGGGGTTGGCAGTGTAGGGCCCCAAGGCGGATCTGGGCCCAGGGTGGTGCCATGCTCCACAGAGCTGGCTGGATCCAGGAGCAGGTAGGATCTTCACCCTCCTGGGCACAGCTGCAGGCACCCAAGTCACAGCCGTGGACCTGGGCCTCCATGTGCTCTCGGGGGCCAGTAGCAGGCAGGAGTCCTGCCATCCCAGGTGCAGCTGCAGCTGCCCTGCTACAGCTGTGGATCCAGGCATCTCTGTACTTTTAGGCACCTGGGAAGACTATCCCCTTGCTCCTTCAGGCTTAGAGGTGTCTTCTCCTGCTGCCTGGCCTCTCCCTATCCCCGGCTCCTGCTCCAATCTCAGAGCAGGGTTGGAGCCAAGTCCAGGCACTGTTGCAGCCTGGCCAGGTGTGCACATGCTTGGGACAGTGCTGACACACTAGGCCTCTGCCGCCTCAGCCTCCTCCAGACTTGGGCACCGACAAGCATGGGAGGGAGGCTGAGGTGGATGCTTAGGGCAGCTTGGCACTGGCCTGCAGGTGCCCCTTGGCATGAACAGCCCAGGAGCCATATACAGCAGCAGGAGGCAGACAGGCTTCTGGGTGGAAGGGGGCAGGTCCCCCATGAAATCTCACCTTCAAGTCAGGGAGGGCTTGAAGCCTGGGACTGGGCTGCCAGTCCCACGGACCAGAGTGGAAACTTGTGGTGCTCTTTCTGGGACTGCCCATGGCTGCTCATGGACCAGTCAGCACACACCTTCTCCCCTCTGAGGCCCATAAAAGCCCCAAGCTCAGCCAGACTCAAAGAGACAATAGGACGACCTACCTGCAGAGAAGAGCTACCATCTCTGCTGAGAGCTGAATGCTTGTTGGGATGACCTTCCCAGCAGAGAGGAGCTATCCTATATGCTGAGAGCTGAAAACTTGTTGGGACAAACTGCCTAGTAGAGAGGAGCTACCCTCTCTGCTAAGAACTGAACACTCATTGGGACACCCTGGCTATGGAGATGGGCTACCCACTGTAGGTCTCCTCTGAGCTGTTCTATTACTTAATAAAGCTCCTTTTCATCTTGCTCTCCCTCCACTTGTCTGTGTACCTCATTCTTCCTAGACACAGGACAAGAACTCAGGAACCACTGAATGAGGGGGCTAAAAGAACAGTAACACAACCAGGGCTGAAACATGCCCCTTGCTTGCCACATTGCAGATGACAAGAAGAAGAAGAGAGAGAAGGAGAGAAGTGCTGTGGCCCTTTGGGGAGCCTAGACCTTGGAGCTCCTTGAGCAAGGGTTATGACACCTTCTTTAGGGCTTTGCAGTTCCTGGCATCTCCAAGCTTTTGGGTGTCACTGCATGCCCTGGTGTCAGCTGTGGAAGCTTCTTATGGTATGCCTGGTCCAGCCACAGCCTTGAAGGGAGCCGGAGCCCATGCTGGCACCTGGAGCTGCCTGCCCCACTGCAGCCAGTGTGCCTGGCTGTGTGCAGCAACTGGACCCCATGCTCGCTCACGCACCCCTCATTGCTCCGTGCCTTGGAAGATGTGGGATCCAGGCTGGTAGCATAAGCCAACCACAGCCTGCCAGGCCGAGTGGGCAGAATGAGTCCAGCAGGCCAGAGCAAAACTCAGGCAACGGCACCACTGGCCACAGAGGTTTCTGGCTGGTGAAGTGACACCCACAAAGATCCTGTAACAACTCCATTCTGCTAAAATGGAATATTTTATAATGTAATATAAGCACTTGAGTGACTCTGCCATCACCTTTGCCATATTTGATTGGTTAGAAGGAAGTCACAGGTTCTGCCCATAAGAAAAAGACTGAATTATACATGGACATGTGCCTCATTGAGTGCCATCTTAGAGAATGCTGCCTAACGCAAAATCTTTCTTCTACAATTTACTCTTCCCCAGGTCAGCTTTAGATTTTGGCTTGTAATTCTGCTATCTTGGTGAGAGTATTCTAATCTGGCCGGCTAATAAATGTAGATTACATTTGGAGGTTGCAAAAGACCTTGCAGGACCAACTGAAGAGAACAGCCTTCTTACCTCCCTTTTGTGGGGGCCTGGACTTTTATTGCTACTGCCTCCTGATACTGTCACATTGTTTTCTCTGCTTAAAAAAATTAATCGAGAAATAATAAATAAAATATGGGTCTATCAGAAGCTGGTGCTAAATTGTTGGCATGGGTGAACTTTCTCAATGAAGAATGAAAGGCTTACAGCCCTTGGAGACCAGTTTCTCTTTTCCTAGGTGTCTCAAGAAGAGCTGCATAAGCTATTATTTTCAAATCTTGAATGGTGCTTTTGGTTTTCAATTACTTTCTAAGAAAGGCAAAAATAAAAATGTATCCTGACATTTTAAGCATTTCCTGGCAACTGATTCTTAAATTATTTATAGATTTGCTGTCTTATTTAATTAACCTTTTTTGTTTGTTTGGCACCAAACAAACTGTATGGTTGTTTTCTTGTCTTCCTGTTGTGCCTGAGCTCTGATATTCCAGACAGTATTTGAAATAAATCTTATAACTCTGATGTCTCGAAGTAGGCAGCAGAGATACCTGGCAGGTCAGTGCTACTGTTTCTTTCACTGCATAGCACTAACACACTCTAAGCTCACTTTTCACATAACTGGTAATGGTCTGTACCATTTGTTGTGTACTGTACTATAGATTAGCTATCAGGTCTCTCGGGATAATTCCCTTCGTTTTGACATAAACTGATTTAGCAAATATAAATCTCAGCCCATATATTCAAGTGTGCAAAAAAAAGCATTTTTAAAGTTTTCCTTAAATCAACTTAATGCTGGCATTGAGGCCACATGTTTCCGGGTTGGTATGAAATTCCATCTCAATCATTATTGTGATGTTGTTCTTCACTGAGAATAGTGGGAGAATTTAGAAGGCTTTAGTTTGCCTCAAAAATAATAATTATAACCACCAACAACATGACCACCACCACCACCACCACGACAGCTCCTCTATATATAGCAAGTGCTTTGTGCCAGGCACTGTTGTATGCAATTTAAGTGAAGGGAATGGATGGTTCATTATTGCGGGCACTAAGTCTTGTTTCAGAACTCTCTGTTTAAGGACCCTTAGACTTAACTTTTACTAACTGAGGGTGGGGCAGAATTGCTCCCTTTTCAGTGGACTTCTCTCTCTTGCTTTTCTGTCTTAATCTGTTTGTGCTGCTTAGAACAAAATGCCGTAAACTGAGTAGCTTAAAAACAACAGAAATTTACTTCTTACATTTCTAGATTCTTGGAAGTCCCAGATAAAGGACCAAGACGATTCAATGTCTGATGAATGCCCTCTTTATTGTAACTGGCACCTTCTATTTGTTTCTTCACATATCAGAAGGGCCAAGGGATCTCTGAGGTCTCCTTTATGAGGGCACTAACCTCATTCATATGAAGGCACCACCCTCATGACCTAATTATCTCTCAAAGGCCTCACCCTCTAATACTATCACATTAGGAATATGCTCCTTCCAGAACACAAACTCCAATAAAATAGAACCTTCTTTATTTTTTTCACTTGGCCTGTTTAACTTTTCTAGACAAGGACTTACACAACCATGATGTGGTATGTTATAGTATGTTATGTTAGGCTGATATGATGTGATTTTGAAATGAAGCTTAAGACAATCTGGCAAAACAAACTTTAGCATTTATTTATGTATATTTTATATATATATGTATATTAAATTTTCTCTATCCTACTCACCACCCTCATCACATTTCAGCCAGTGATCATCATAGATTCTTTCAATCTTAGGTTCTTAGAGAATATGTAGCCCAATATTTTCAGTTTAATGTTGAAAAGCTAAGATTTGAACAGTTGACCTGCTCAAGGGCACATAGAACATTGACTGAAGAGCAGGAACACTTGGATTTCATATGAAAATGGGGTGGAGATGGAGTAGGCAAGGAAGGAAACAGTGGTGTAGCAAACACCAATTGAAACAAGTTCTTATAATGGTATCTGATTCTTTAGTTTCCCAACAACCCTGCAACTTAATTTTATTGTGTCTAAAAGATTTTAAAGGATAGAGAAAAAGAGCTAATACTCAGAGTTTGACTTATCTAAAGTCAATTGGCTGCATAAAAGTAGTATAGATTCTGACTTAGGTCTGTTGGGCTCTGTAATCATCTGAATTGTATCTCCTAAAATTCATATGTTGAATTGTTAAAATCATGTAATTGTTTTCTGAAAGAGGAATCCTTACTTGTATCAGTCACTACACATTTGTAATTTTGCCTTCTTTTTCTAAAAGAACAAACTTATTCCTTTTTTCTCTTTTGAGAACATTACTATAAGCTTAGAGACATGTGAAAATCTTCAACAAGATTGTAGTATACAAGCTATGTCATCCATGTAATGATTTAGCTCTGAGTGGCTCTTGAATAAGATTTTAATCTATAGATGTGGGTGATGTGCGGTTCATTGTGTGTTATGCTTGGCAAATTTTAAAAGATACCTTAAGGTACTGCTGATTGACAATTGAGATGTTATTCATTTGAAGAAGAAAGGTGTATTAGTGTGCTGTTAATGTCAGAAGAGTGATGGCCTATTTTTAATTACATATATAAAGAGATACCTGATAACAAGGAATGGCTAACAGAAGATGAGATTGAACCATTTACAAGTATATATAAAGCTATCTGGATGGTTCAGGAATGTGTTAAAGACAAATTTCTCATTTCTGTTATTTTTGGGAACAAAAATGTTGCAAGGTCATGAATTAACTTTCCAATCTGTCAGTACTATATTACAGAGAGATTTGGAAGGCTCAAAGCAATATTTTGCTCTCTGCTGAAAATCCAAATGAAAGGCACATTCCCATGCTTCTGTTTCGTGTGATTAGTCCAGCAGTAGAATGTGGCATACTGTTTTTATGGTATAGTTTTAGGTGGATTATTGATGAAAAACAAGTCAGAATGTGGAAATACGAACTATAAAAGTGTTCTGATGTTCCTATAAAGAACTCATGAACTGAAAGGATGTAAATGACATTCTTTCACTATCATGGTGAAACTATTCTATTGTCTTTCTAAATCAGTTTAAAGAAGGCAGAATTTTCTACCACTTAACACCTACAGCTACCACCATGCCCTGACCTTTTTTTTATTTTTATTTTTTGCAGTATAGATTTGTTTCAGTCATTGATCGATCTATTCATTCCATCAATATTTATTGAGAGGCTAAGATATTCCAGATATTATGCCAGGTTCTGGGGATTCATCAGTAAGTATTATAGATACAGGTTTGGAACTAATGTAATTGTGCCCTTGTGGAAAAGACTGGTGTTAATTAAATAGTCACAAGGATAAGTATAAAATAACAGTGCCACATGACATGATGCTAAGTGACGTGATTAGTAGATCATAACAGCATGATTTAAATTAGTGTCTTCATTAGGATTCTCAGAAATAATTTTCGCTTGGTGCTAGGGCCCCCAGAGCAAATGCCATTTTACAGAAGACTGTTTTTTTGTGTTTTTTTTTTTAATCTCTAGTACTTTCTCTGAATTAGTTGAATATTTTACCTCTGAGATACGAAACTGGTTTGTGCACCTTGATTATAATATAGAAGGTTTAATTCCAGTGTCAATTCCATATTTTAATAATGAGTGATTGCTTTTAAAAAATCATTTCATTGAAATATTAATGGAAAAAAGTGTACATATAATAATATATCTCAATGAACTATAAAAAAAATACACATATCCGTTTAACCAGCACCCAAATAAAGAAATAAAAAATGACAGAATGGAAAGCTTCACTGATTGTCCCCTCCACAAAGACACCAAGTTACCAACTATCTACACACACAAAAAAAACCTTCAGAAGAACCAAAATTAAGGTGAGCACTCATACTACCTAGTTTTAACAGTATATCATTGAAAAAAGGGACAAAAGGTAAAAATCAGTCCTGAACCACAAGGCAACCAGAAAACAAATAACAAAATTACAGGAGTAAGTATTTACTTACTCCTATATATTATTCAATAGTAATATTGAATGGAAATGAACTAAATTCTCATATAGACTGGCTGAATGGATTGAAAAAAACAAGATCTGTTGACCTGTTGCCTACAAGAAACACACTTCACCTATAAAGACACACAGACTCAAAATAAATTAATGCAAAAAAAATTCCATTCCAATGGAAACTAAAAAAGAGCAGGAGTTGCCATACTTACATCAGACCAAATTCATTTCAAAAAAAATCTAGAAGAAGAGGCAAAAAAGGTCAATGTAATGATAAAGGGGTCAATTCAGCAAGAGCATATAACAATTTTAAATGTATATGCACCCAACACTGGAGCATGTAAATATATAAAGGAAATATTATTTGAGCCAAATAGAGAGATAGGCCCCAATAAAATAATAGCTGGAGATTTCAACACCTCACTTTCAGCATTAGATAGATCTTTCAGGCAAAAAGTCAACAACAACAACAAACATACTTAATCTGCACTCTAGGCCAAATAGATCTAATAAATATTTATAGAACATTTCATCCAAGAGGTACAGAATACACATTCTTTTCCACAGCACATGGATTATTCTCAAGGATAGATCATATGTTAGGTCACAAAACAAGTCTGTAAATATTGAAAAACTTGAAATAAATATCAAGCATCTTCCATGACCACAACAGAATAAAACTATACGTTAATTAAAAGAGGAATTTCGGAAACTATGCAAATAAATGAAAATTAAACAGTATGCTCCTGAATGACCAGAGGTTCAATGCAAACATTAAGAAAAAAAAATTAAAATGTCTTAAAATAAATGAAAATGGAAATATATTGTACAAAAACCTATGGTATATAGCAAAAGCACTACTCAGAAAAAAGTTTGTATGTATCAGTGCCTACATCAAGAAGAGAAAAAGCTTCAAATCAACAATCTAATGATGCAACTTTAACAGAAAAGCAAGAGCAAACCAAATGCAAAATTGGTGGAAGAAAAGAAATAATAAAATCTGACCAAAAATAAATGAAATGAAAATGAAAATGCAAAAGATCAGTGAAACAAGTTGATTTTTCAAAAGTTAAAGAAAAGTGACAGATTAAAAAAATATAAATCAATAAAATCAGAAATTAAAAAAAGAGATGTTACTACTGATACTGCAGAAATTCAAAGGATCATTATTGGCTACTATGAGTAACTAGATGCTAATAAATTGAAAAATTGAGAAGAAATTGACAATTTCCTAGTTACATACAAACTACTATGAGTCTGAAGAAACTGGAAAACCTGAACAGACCAATAACAAGTAACAAGATCTAAGCAGTAATAAAAAGTTTCCCAGTAACAGCAAGCCCAGGACATGTTAGCTTCACCGCCAAATTCTATCAAACTTCTAAAGAAACTATAGAACTATATATTTGTCTTTAAAAGAATCCTATTTAAACTCTTCAGAAAAATAGAGGAGGAGAGAGTACTTCCAAAGTCATTATACCAGGCCAGAATTGCCCCGATACCAAAAACAGACAAAGACACATGAAAAAAAGAATGCCACAGGCCAATATCACTGATGAAGATTAATGCAAAAAGCTTCAACAGAATTGTCACAAATAGAATTAAAACAGTAGGAAGATCGTTATGACCAAGTAGAATTTATTCCATGAATGCAAGGATGATTAAACATACACAAATTAATCAATGTGATACATCATAACAGAATAAAAGACAGAAACTATAGGATCAATTCAATTGATGCTTAAAAATAAAGCATTGGATAAAAGTAAACATCCCTTCATGATAAAAACCCTAAAAAAACTGGGTAGGTAATAAAATCCATAGATGACAGATCACAGCTAGCATCATACTGAATGGGGAAAAGCTGAAAGCCTTTTCTCTAAGATCCGGAACACAGCAAGAATGCCCATTGTTACCACTGTTATTCAACATAGTACTGGAAGCTCTAGCTATCCTTGTTTGCAGATGATATGAGTTTACATTTGGAAAAACCTAAAAACTCCACAGGAAAACTATTGAACTGATAAACGAATTAACTGAAGTTGCAGAATACAAAATTAACATACAAAAATCAGCAGTATTTCTATATGCCAACAGTGAACTCTCTGAAAAATAAAGTAAAAAGGTAATCTCATTTACAATAGCCACACATATAATTAGATATCTGGGAATTAGCTAAACCAAAAAAGTGAAAGATCTCTATAATGAAAACAATAAAATAGGGATATTGAAGAGGACAGCAAAAAATGAAAAAAATAATTCTATGTTCACATATTGAAAGAATTAATATTTTTTAAATGTTCATACTACCCAAAGTAGTCAAAAGATTCATACAATTCCTATCAAAATACCAATGACATTCTTCATATAAATTTTAAAAAGACCCTAAAATGTATACAGAACCATAAAATATCCAGATTAGATCAAGCTATCCTAAGCAAAAGAACAAAATTGGAGGAATCACATTACCTTGCTTCAAATTACACTGCAGAGATATAGTAACCAAAACAGTGTGGCACTGGCCTAAAAACAGATACATAGACTAATGAAATAGAATAGAAAACCCAGAAATGAATCCACGCACCTACAGTGAACTCATTTTTGACAATGATGCCAAAAACTTATGCTGGCAAAAAGACAGTTTTTCCAATAAATTGTGCTGGGAAAACTGGATATTCATAGGCAGAAGAATGAAACTAGACCCCTATCTCTTGCAACATACAAATATCAAATCAAAATGAATTTAAAACTTAAATCTAAGACCTCAAACTATGAAACAACGTTACGAAAACATTGGGGAAAATCTCCAGGACATTGGTTGGGGCGATAATTTTTTTGATCAATACCACACAAGCACAGGCAACCAAAGCAAAATAGACAAATTGGATCACATCAAGTTAGAAAGCTTCTGCACAGCAAAGGACACAATCAACAAAGTGAAGTTACAACCTGCAGAATGGGAAAAAAATGTCTGCAAACTACCCTTTTGACAAGGGATTCATAAGAATATATAAGAATCTCAAATAACTCTATGAAAAATCGAAAAATCTTATCAAAAATGGGCACCATATTTGAATAGACATTTCCCAAAAAGAGACATACAAATGGCAAATGGGCCTATTAATAGGTACTCAACATCACTGATCATGTGAGAAATGAAATCAAAACTAAAATTAGGTATCACCTCACCCCAGTAAAAATGGCTCATATTCAAAAGAGAGGCAGTAACAAATGCTGGCTAGGATGTGGAGAAAAAGGAACCTTTATACACTGTTGGTGGGAATGTAAACTAGTACCACCACATGGAGAACAGTTTGGATGTACCTCATAAAAGTAAAAATTGAGCTAGTATGTGATTCAGAAGTAAAAATTGAGCTAGTATATGATTCAGAAGTAAAAATTGAGCTAGTATATGATTCAGAAGTAAAAATTGAGCTAGTATATGATTCAGAAGTTCTGTTGGGTATATACACAAAAGAAAGGAAAATTATTGAAAATATATCTGCAGTTCTGTGTGTGTTGCAGCACTGTTTACAATAGTTAAGACTGAGAGGCAACTTAAGTGTTCATCAAAGGACAAATGGATAAAGAAAATGTGGTACATAAACACAATGAAGTTATATTTATCCATAGAAAGTATGTGATCCAGTCATTTGCAACAACATGAATGGAACTGGAGAGCATTATATTGAGTGCAATAAGCCGGGCACAGAAAGACAAATATTGCATGTTCTCAAATATTTATGGGGTCTAGAAATAAAATCAATTGAACTCATGGACATAGAGAGTAGATATATGGTTACCAGAGGCTGGAAAAGGTAGTTGGGGGTTTGGAGGAAAGTGGAAATGGTTAATGTGTCCAAAAAAAGCAGAAAGAATAAGACCTACTTTTTGATATCCCAATAGGGTAACTTAATAATAACTTAATTGTATATTTCAAAATAAATAATGTAACTGGATTGTTTGTAACACAAAGGATAAATGCTTGATGGAATAGAAACCTCATTCTCCATGATGTTCTTATTTCACCTTGCATGCCTGTATCATGTACCCCATAAGTATATACACCTATTGTGTACCTCAAATTTTTAAAAATTAGAAAAAAAATCAAGAAATAGAACATTATCCATTTCCCAGAAGCCCCCTTTATGCCACCTCTGACTATATGTCTTCAAAACAAATTGGTGAGCATTTGTCTTAGAAAATTAGCCCACAAATGTCTAATCACCCTCATTGGCGCCTGAGCAACACAGTTGTTGCTTGCCTGGTCACATTTGTCAGAGGAGTAATTTGTAGATATTTTCCCCCATTCAGAGTCAGGATGGCACTGAGCTTATTCTGTAAGAGGCAGGCATGGTAGATGTCACCAAGGAGTAGCCTAAGGCACCACGTCCATGTGGTTGATGTGGCAGTCCTTAGACCGGCTGATGGCTATTCCACATCGGACCAAACAAGAAAGGACCCAATTTCCTTGAGAAATCATAAGCTGTGATGACGGCTTCATCTGTCTTTCTTGGCTGTGGAAGTGCTCCAAACTCTAATTGGAATGGGAAATATTTGTAATCTTTAACTCATTTATTTGTTTAGGGATCCTATTCTCTCTTCTCCATACAGCCTTGAGAAGTTAAAGGTAACATCTGAAAGTGCACAATCTTTATCTGCTCCCTATGATTTTTATTCTCTGCCTGAAGATCCACTCATTAGAAGTAAAATAATGTGTTCCTACCTCCACCAATACAACTGGAAAATTAGTCCTTAAGCAATTTGATACACCTAGTTAGATAAGTCAGGGAATAATCCTTAAGTATGACATTCAAAGTGAGGTCAGAAGAATGAGCAAGAGTTAAGAAGGCAAATTGGGAGGGAAGAACATTCTATAAAGAGAAATAGCTCATGCAAAAGCCTTAGGGCAGGAGAGAGAAGAGTACATGATCAGATATTATTAGAGGAAAGAATGATGTGAGATGAAGCTGTTACAAGTTAGATGCTAGACTATGTAGGGCCCTGTAGGTCATGTCATAATTTTTCCCTTTTATTCTAAGCATAATGGAAGCCTCCTCTTTAATAGAGGAAGGAACACTTATGTGAAGTGAAGTGACCAAATTTATATTTTGAAAAAGATCAACATGGCTACAGTGTGAAGAATAAAATGCCAGGGCATAAGTACAGAACTAAGAATAGCTAACAAGGAGGCAGTAAGTGGAGGTGATAAAGGTAATAAGTATCAAAGCCAGGATTTGAACCCAGGCATACTGGCTACAAGATCGATACATTTAAACACTATGCATAACTATATTTGGCTAGTCATTTAGTAAGAAGTGAATCACATTTAATAAGGGATGATGGTTACTGGGATTTAAAAGGATGTGGTGGAGACAGAAAAAAGTAGACCAATTTGAAAAACTGTTAGAAGATAAAAATGATAGAATATGGTGACGAGTTGAGGAAAGGGGAGTTAGAGGTACATAATAATGATTTTTTAGGTTTGGAATGTGCAAATGTATCTGTGCTGGTATCACGCACTGATACAGGGAATGCCAGATGGAACACCAGGTTCAGGAGAGAGAATTATTTTATTCCGGAATGTCTTGAGTTTGAGAGAGCTATGAAACAATTGGCAGGAAAGTGATGTCACATGAGCAATAGTCTATATGGGCCTAGGGCTCAGAGACTGAATATATCAATGTGTGAATCATCAGCATATATTATATTGATTACCTACATCTGAGACTTAAGAAACTTTCATATTGAATGTTCAGGTGGAAGAGGATGAACCTACATAAAACAGAACAAGAGCAGACAGAGTGGTAAGAACAGGAGAGAAAGATGAGGAGAACAGGAGAGTCTTGTTAAGTACCAGCAGTCAGAGCATGGGTGTTACAAATATCAGTGAGAGGTAAAAAAAACTTTGATTGAGGCCGGGCACGGTGGCTCACGCCTCTAATCCCAGCACTTTGGGAGGCCGAGGCGGGCGGATCACAAGGTCAGGAGATCGAGACCATCCTGTAACGTGGTAAAATCCTGTCTCTACCAAAAATACAAAAAATTAGCCAGGCGTGGTGGTGGGCGCCTGTAGTCCCAGCTACTTGGGAGGCTGAGGCAGGAGAACGGTGTGAACCTGGGAGGCAGAGCTTGCAGTGAGCGGAGATTGCGCCACTGCCCTCCAGCTAGGGCGACAGAGCGAGACTCCATCTCAAAAGAAAAAAAAAAAAAACTTTGATTGAAAAATGTCTTTATCTTACAGAATAATAGTTTGGTGAAGTGATGGGGATGCAAGTCTAACAGCAAAACTTAAGAGTGTCAAAAAAAAAAGTACAACAAATTTAAAGATTTTAATTGGCTTTATTTGTGATTCTAGAATCAGGCAACATTTCATTCCATAAAATAGAATAAATGTCTTCCGATAAGCCAAGCAGAGGATAATACTATTATCCTGTTATTTCTTATTATACTATTACTGTTATTTCTTTATTTCTTCTTTAAAAAAAATAGGGATACATATGCAGAATGTGCAGATTTGTTACATAAGTATACATGTGCCATGGTGGTTTGCTGCATCTATTGACCCATCCTCTAAGTTCCCTCTTCTCACCCCCATCCCCCAACAGGTTCTGGTGTGTGTTGTTCCCCTCTCTGTGTCCATGTGTTCTCATTGTTCAACTCCCATTTATGAGTGAGAACATGTGTTGCTTGGTTTTCTATTCTAGTTTGCTGAGGATGATGGCTTCCAGTTTCATCCATGTCCCTGAAAAGGACTTGATCTCAATCCTTTTTATGGCTGCATTGTATTCCTTGGTATACATGTACCACATTTTCTTTATCCAGTCTATCATTGATGGGCATTTGGGTTGGTTCCATGTCTTTACTATTGTAAATAATGCTGCAATAAACATACATGTGCATGTGTCTTTATAGTAGAATGATTTATATTCCTTTGGATATATACCCAGTAATGGGATTGCTGGGTCAAATGGTATTTCTGGTTCTAGATCCTTGAGGAATCACCACACTGTCTTCCACAATGGTTGAGCTAATTTACATTCCCACCAACAATGTTAAGGCATTCCTATTTCTCCACAGCCTCACGAGCATCTATTGTTTCCTGACTTTTTAATAATCACCATTCTGGCTGGTGTAAGATGGTATCTCATGGTGGTTATGATTTGCATTACTCTGATTATCAGTGATGTTGAGTTTTTTTGTCATATGTTTGTTGGTCGTGTAAATGTCTTCCATTGAGAATTGTCTGTTCATATCTTTTTTCCACTTTTTGATGGGGTTGTTTGTTTTTTCTTATAAATTTGTTTAAGTTCCTTGTAAATATTGGATATTAGACTTTTGTCAGATGGGTAGATTGCAAAAATCTTCTCACATTCTGTAGGTTGCCTGTTCACTCTGACACTAGTTTCTTTGGCTGTGCAGAAGCTCTTTCATTTAATTAGATCAAATTTTTAAATTTTCGCTTTTGTTGCAACTGCTTTTGGTGTCTTCGTCATGAAGTCTTTGCACATGCCTATGTCCTGAATGGTATTGCCTAGGTTTTCTTCTAGGATTTTTATGGTTTTGGGTTTTGCATTTAAGTGTTTAATCCATTTTGAGTTAATTTTTGTATAAGGTGTTAGGAAGGGGTCCAGTTTCAGTTTTCTGTATATGGCTAGCCAGTTTTCCCAGCACCATTTATCGAAGAGGAGATCTTTCCCCATTGCTTGTTTTTGTCAGGTTTGTCGAAGATTAGATGGTTGTAGATGTGTGGCGTTATTTCTGAGGTCTCTGTTCTGTTCCATTGGTCTATATATCTGCTTCGGTACCAGTACCATGCTGTTTGTTTTGGTTACTGTGGCCTTGCAGTATAGTATGAAGTCAGGTAGCGTGATGCCTCCAGCTTTGTTCTTTTTGCTTAGGATTGTCTTGGCTATACGGGGTCTTCTTGGATTCCATAGAAAATTTAAAATATTTTTTTCTAATTCTGTGCAGAATGGCGATGGTAGTTTGATGGGAATAGCATTTAATCCATAAATTACTCTGGGCAGTATGGCCGTTTTTATGATATTGATTCTTCCTATCCATGAGGATGGAATGTTTTTCCATTTGTGTGTGTCCTCTCTTATTTCCTTGAGCAGTGGCTTGTAGTTCTCCTTGAAGAGGTCCTTCACATCCCTTGTAAGTTATATTCTTAGGTATTTTATTCTCTTTGTAGTGATTGTGAATGGGAGTTCATTTATGATTTGGCTCTCTTCTTGTCTATTGTTGGTGTAAAAGAATGCTTGTGGCTTTTGCACATTGATTTTGTATCCTGAGACTTTGCTGAATTTACTTATCAGTTTTATGAGTTTTTAGGCTGAGATAATGGGATTTTCTAAATATAAAATCATGTTGTCTGCAAACAGAGGCAATTTGATTTCCTCTCTTCCAATTCGAATACCTTTATTTCTTTCTCTTGCCTGATTGCCCTGACCAGAACTTCCATTACTATGTTGAATAGGAGTGGTGAGAGAGGGCATCCCTGTCTTGTACCAGTTTTCAAAGGGAAGCCTTCCAGCTTTTGCCCATTCAATATGATATTGGCTGTGGGTTTATCATAAATAGCTCTTATTATTTTGAGATGTTTCATCTATATCTAGTTTATTGAGAGTCTTTAACATGAAGGGGTGTTGAATTTTATCAAAGGCCTTTTCTGCATCTATTGAGATAATCATGTGTTTTTTGTCTTTGGTTCTGTTTATGTGATGGATTGTGTTTATTGATTTGCCTATGTTGAACCAGCTGTTCATCCCAGGGATGAAGCTGACTTTAAATAACAAAATAGTAAACCTAAACCAATAGTTATAAAAGATTACATTACATTGAATGGATTAAACATTTACATTTTAAAAGCAGAGAAGAGTTCAGAAATAAACCCATGCATTTATGGCCAATTGTTTTTGTTTTTGTTTTCACATTTACTAGTTTATCATAAAAGATGCAACTTAGGGATAGCCAAATTGAAAAGATGCGTGGGGCAAGGCATGGGGAGGAGGGTGATAAGGGATAGCCAAATTGAAAAGATGCGTGGGGCAAGGCATGGGGAGGGCGGTGGTATATAGAGTTTCCATGCCCTTTCTAGCACCTGGGTGTGTTCGGCAACTTGGAAGGTCACTGAGTCTCATTGTTCAAGAGTTTTTGTACAGCCTGCTCTCCAGCCTGCTCACCTCCACTTCCCAGAGGTCAATGGGGTGGGTCTGAAAGTTTCAACCCTCTAATAACTAGGTCTTTTCAGTGATCAGCCCCAACCTGAGGCTATCTTGATTGCCACCTTGTCACCTAATTAGCAAAAACTAAGGTGTGACCGAAAGGGCCTCATTATGAATAACAAAACGCACTTTTGTCACTCAGGAAATTCTAAGAGCTTTAAAAAATCTGTGCCAGGAACTGGGAATGAAGACCAAGCATATTTCTCATTATAACAGTTTACCCCTTAGTTTTTGACCATGGATCCCATGTAACAAAATGTTAAATGTTACAAGATAATGGTATATTACTAGAGACCTATTCAGTCATTAATAATTAGTATAGTTCAACATTATAATGTATGAAAATACTTCCTAAAGAGAGTTTACTCAGGTTTGTGGGCTTCTATTTGATCTTGTCAGGTTCCGAAAGCAGAGGTGGTTTCAGTAATATACAGCATCACCCTTTCAGGCATCTGATATGATTGAACTAAGAGGAAATGTCATCTCTTGCTCCGAACCTCTTTCAAGGTGTAAATGTAATATTAGATTTCCCTCATTACATAACCTGTTTATTCATTCCTTTACGCTTAGCAACTATTCTTCCTTTTCTCCATTTATACCCAAACTTTTTAAACTTTGGAAGGCACATTAGGTTTGGCCACTGTGCTGATCTAGATTGCAAATAACAATAGTAGTCTAGAAAAGTCTCTTCCCTTCAGTCCGTTTTCATTTATATATAGTAGATTTACGTACGTACAAAACTAGTGGGATATCTTGACCTCTAGGTAACACAGAAGCATTCACTGTAAACCCCAGTTTTGCCAGATAGGGTAAAAATAAAACTTGATGCATCAGTTCCTTAGGAATTCTGACATGAAGGTTTAAAAATATAGTTAGAGTTTCTTGCTTAGAAATTATTTCTGTTTTGGCATTTGTAGCTGCATCAGTTCCTGTGATCGCTGCATCAGGTAGAAAAAAGAAAAGTTGAGGAAATGTGGGCAAAAAAGGAAAAAAATATAAATATAGTCATCGTAGCAGCACGCTCCATTACGCCTTTCTCTCCATTTCCACCAGGAAAGCAGACGAACGTATCTAATGTGGATAGACCTTTGGTCTCACTCATGTTGAGCATGAGCGCACACTCATGAAGGCATGTAAGCCAGGCCTCCGTGTCTTTATCTGCCCATCTTGGCAATCAATATATTAATTTCCCATTCCTATTCTATATCACACTATTACCCTGAGGAGAATATCTCACTGCCTGTTGATGAACATTATGGGCTATAAAGTGCATTTCTTGATCTAAAGACATGTGACTCGTCAGTCTAAATTGGTGCAACATCATCTGTTCTGGTTAATGTATAGCACTCTGAAAGTTTGTATTTCCTACTTGGTAAGCAAAGCCCAGTCCACTTTCAGTGTCTATGACTGTCAAGACCCATTTATAGCTACCCTGAGGCTACTGGCATCAGTTTGACTTGCCAGCTATGTTCAGGCCTTTCCCCTGGGAAATCTGCCACATAGCCATGTGCATTCTTTCTTTTGCAGGCAGAAAAAACAAGTATTATTGTCATTTTCTGCCTCAGAAGGTGCAAGGGGAGTAGGTCTAGATTCAGTCCATCTCTGTACTGCTTCGGTACCTCCGTATCCATTTTTCATGGACTCATGGAACACAGTAAGCACACAGGGATATGATTTCAATCACCATTCAAACCTGAAAGGGAGTACTGATGGACATCAACATGTTCTAATTTAATGCACCCCTCAAATGCCCATCAGGTCCTGCCCCAGATGGACATCCCTTTAATAAACCAGTTTTCTGGCATCTTTCTGCCTGACAGTATGGCCAGATTGGTAAAAAAAAATATATATATATATATATATATATAAATATTTATATATATATAAATATATATATATATAAATATATATATATATATAAACATTGTTGCCAGTAGCACGCAGTTCAGCCTACTGAGCTGATTTGTTTATACCTTCTTCTATCAAAGTGGTGGCCTTCCAAACAGGATATTATCTATTCCCTTAGAATTACTCTTCATAAACCAAGTAGTTCTTTGTTAGTTTGTCAAGAACAGTTTATAGGGCACTGTCCAATTGACAGCAGAATCCAGCAGCAACTCAAGCACTTCCAAAGTCAGTCCTAGAGGAAAAGAAACTTCCAGCTCATGAGTATCTCCTCATTGCATTCTCTCAGTAGCATGGTCCTCTATAAAATATTTCAATTCTATTTGGCAATTCTGGGCAGTGCTGTTCCCATCGGATAGTTTATCTTATATCACCCAAGACATAATGAGTATTTTGAGTTTTAGTATTATTTTTTGCCTATTAATTATAGGAGCAGTGTCAACTAATACTTAATATAGGCTAGTAATTGCTCCTCAAATGGAAATTTTCTAGTCCAAAGTCCCAATAGTTCTCACCAAGAAGTATAATATAGAAGCCCCATTCTAAGCTCCTTATGAAGTTGCTACACAGAGAATGTGTCTGTGCCAGCACGCCAACCTCTAATCTATACTGCATGGGCTCAGACAGTCTTATTCATTCCCATTTAGCATGCCCAGTTAATATTGCCTGAGTGGTGATTTTACATGCCTTCTGTTTTACAGAAACAGTTCCTCAGTCAGACATAATATGCAACCCCATAGTACACCCAGGTAAATGAGATACAACCCCTTCACATAAAGCCTGTTCAAACATACCAATTCTCCTCAAAACTTTTACTTTAACCCTATCAACCCTTATATTCCTAACTGTAATCTCCATTCAGAATTCATCACAAGTTTTTCTTTACAATACTAGGTAGAAGTATTCTCCAGTCAAATGTAATATTCATTCACATAAAACATTCAGTAAAGGAGAAATAACCTGTTCATACCGTGTAAGTATTCCAACTTTTATAATCTTATTATTCCTTACATTTCTATATTCTCTTAACTAAATGAAAGCCTGCATTAGGCCTTCATCAATTGGGTTGATACCACAGTATAAGGAGCTCCCATGTAAACACGTCCTCAAAACTTCTCTTTTCTTCCCTGTGACCATTTTACCCACCCAGTGTATAAGGATTTGAGTCCCCAGAGAGGGAGTTGAGCCAAGGGATGCTGGCTCTTTTGTCAATCTTTATCGGATTAATCTGCCTGACTACTGCCCCAAGGGCCAAGTTTCTCCTTGCAATTTCTGCCATTTGGCTTTTTAAATTTCTCCATACTTTAAGGTATATGATGACTTTTCCAAAGCCCTTTAGTGTTGAGAGAACAGCAAGGATCTTTTTGGTCTGCTGTATTATTCCATTTTCATACCATTATGAAGAAATACCTGAGACTGAGTAATTTACAAAGAAAAAGACGTCGAATGGACTCACAGTTACACATGTCTGGGGAGGCCTCACAATCATGGTGGAAGGCAAAAGAGGAGCAAAAGCACATCTGAAACGGTGGCAGGCAAGAGAATGTGTGCAGGGGAACTACCATTTATGAAACCATCATATCTCATGAGACATATTCACTATCATGAGAACAGCATGAGAAAAACCCACCCCCATAATTCAATTACCTCCCACTAGGTCCATCCCATAACATGTGGGGATTATGGGAGGTACAATTCAAGATGAGATTTGGGTGGGGACACAGCCAAACCATATCATCCACTCAACCTTCAATAGTGCTGTATTAAGGTCTTTGTTTCAACCCTATCAGTATTTGTTTGGCATATCTCATTTCTTAATAACCATTGTGAAAGGAAAATAAATCTTGGGACCTCAAAACCACTAAGCCAAAGGGAAAAAGTCAAGCTGGGAACTCCTTAGGGCAAACCTTCCTCACATTCTATTCCTTAAAAAGATAGCTACTAAGATAAAAAAGCTACATACCTCCCTCACAAAGAATTTCCTTGTGGACAAAGGAAAGATAGAACTAAATGTTATCTCTCTGCTCACTGAGATAAATGCATATCTAATTGCCTCTTTTGGAAAGGCTAATCAGAAACTCAAAAAAATGCAACTGTTTGTCTCTTATCTACCTATAACCTGGAATCCCCCTTCCTGCTTCACATTGTTTCACCTTTCTGGACAGAACTAATGTACATCTTTCATATATTGATTGATGGCTTATGTCTTCTTAAAATATATAAAACCAGACTCTGCTTTGACCACCTTGGGCACATGTTGTCAGGACCTCCTGAGGCTGTGTTATGGGAGCACATCATTAAATTTGGCAAAATAAACTTCATAAATTGTCTGAGACCTGTCTCAGGTATTTGGGCTTCACATTTGGCAACCATGGTGGGATTCTGAGTGGAGTTGCCCTTTACCTTTCACAAATCTCCTATCAGTGTTTGGTATCAGATTGAGCTATCTTTATGGCTCAAACCAGTAGGACAATTTGCTGAGGCCTGGAAGCACTCTCTCCAAAGAATCCCTGATATCCTAAAATTTGGTCAAGATCTAAAGTTTATTTTGCTGTACAACTCCATTTCTGGCACTTTTACTTGCTTCCAACAAGGAAGGCAAGTTTTCCTGCTTCCATAATGATTGAAGGCAGGTTACTTATTTCTAGAGTTTGAGTTCACTTCCAACAGGGAAGGTGAGTTTGAGTTATTTCCTGCTTCTAGAATAGTAGAGAGCAGTCTTTAGCCTAAGACCCATCCCTAGGTAAGCAGCTGAATTGGGGTTTTGTTTTGGCTAAAGTTAAGACTCACAACCAGCTGGTCTTAAAATCTTTTTACCATTAGAGCACTCAGTAATCATATTGATGGGTTTTTGTTGTTTTTGTTTGTTCTGGTCTTTCTCTCATCAGATTTGACCAACTCTACCTGGCTTAATCAAATCTGAATGAGAATTCCAAATTATGGTTAATAAGGCCTCTCTGAATTGGCTAGAATTTCTTGCAGCTGCAAAAGGGAGAACAAACAAACACGCTTGTTTTCTGTGTTTGCTTCCTGTCTTAAAAATTTTTTTCTTTCATTTACTTTTCCTCTGCTTTATAACCCCTGCCCCGTTCACCATCTTCAGTGCCAAAAAAAATCTAGAGAAGGCTTCTAATGACTAGAACCCCTTAAATAACTCAGAACAAAGGTACCACTCTCCCCTGTTGGGGTATTTGGTTTTCTCTGCGGATTTTCTAGAGTCATGGGCAGATTCTTATTAGGTCTAAAGCTCTGCTCTCCTGCTTTACATTACCTGACCTCCTTGGCTTTGGGGGTACCAGAGAGTGCCTTGTACTGTGAGAGGATATGACCTTGGCTTGTGTAACAGTGCGTGAGATCTACAAAGTTACAGGTGGCTGAGAACAGTTTACAGGAAGTGTTCCTGGCTGGATTTTTTTGTCTTCTAGGAAGTCATTATTTAGGATTCTAATGCTAGTTCAGAGGCGTATTGTAAAGATTCCTTTTTATTGCCTTTTTATCCTGAAATTAATTTTGATTGGCTCGTCTGCACATTTGTGTGAGGAACTTAACTGTTCTTTTCATAAGTAAATGAGAGAATGAATTTCCTCAGCTCTGAAGAGAAAGCACATTTTGCTCCTCCCAGCCAAAAGGCACCTCTGGGTGACTAGAGGCCTAATGGGAATGTCTGAGGGGTTGGCCCCCCATCATATTCAGTGACACTACAGGGAACCCCCAACAAAATTAGTTTAGAAAGATTTGTCCAGGAAGTACATGTAGAAGCTGTTAACTCCATATCATTTCGAGCCGTCTCTGAGGTCTAGACCTCGGGAGAGAGAACCTGAGATATGTAAGAGGGAGGAAATGACTCAATGGTGACACACTGTGGAGTCCCACCCACAACTAGCACATTTTGACCCACTCCACTGAACCCTAGGCCGCAGCTCAATTCCTCCCTTTAAAAAAGTGGGAAACAAATAATCTAAGAATGAGGAAAAACAAGGAGAATGACCCCCTTTCAGGCACTCCTTTGGTTTCATGGCACCTCTTCTTGCAAGTGTTTGTGTGAAATTGATGTATGTGGTCTTTTTGTGCACAGTTACATCAAAGAAAATTCAGAGTCCAAAGGTCAACCTGCAAGTATAAAGTTCCCAAGTTCTCTATCTCTCTGCTTTCTTTTCTGCCTTCTTTAATTCTGCTGTTACATGTCTACTGAGATAAAATTTACTGTATGCATCCAACCATTTCTTTTGTTACAGTTTCTGCAGACCAATTAACTTGTATTAACATCTCATGACTAGAGTTATGAAGTAAAAGCTATAGGATATTTGGTTATATGGGTGTATGTGTGTGTTTATGTGTACATACATGTATTTTGTTATGTTTTTGGCCACAAGGTACCAAATGGGCTTAAAGAGTACTCATAAATTAATAATCCCAAATGTTTTTCAAGTTCACATGACTTAAGTAAACTCTTTAATAAGCTAGCTTTAAAATGATTGGTTAAGTAACATTAGAAATATCTTAAGAAATTCCAGCATACATTTTTGCTTGCATTTATTAAGAAATTTCATACCTATCCCTGCCAAATACTATAAGGTGTCAAAATTTGGCCTAAGGATTACAAAACTATAAACCCAGCCCAAAACAGAATAATCTTTGCTTGTGTAATTTTTGATAAATAAGACATTAATATTGGGTTAATGAGAATAACTAAATTTTGAATTATTTAGTAAATTAACTACATATTTAATCCTAAGATTTTTACTTAGATAAACACCTGAAATCCACAGTCTACAAAATGGCTGGCTGGAAAATAATTGTAACCACCCAACAGGTTCACCTTGCCTGCTGCCTATACAGAGCCAATTTATCAAGATGGGGGAACTGCAATAAAGAGAAAGTCATGCAGGGCCAACTCTGCAGGTGACCAGAGTTTTATTATTATGCAAACCAATCTTCTTGAGAATTTGGGGATCAGAGATTTTTAAGGATAATTTGGTGAGTAGGGGGCCAGTGAGTAAGCAGTTCTGATTGGTTGGGTCGGAGATGAAATAATAGGGAGTGGAAGCTGTTCTCTTGCTGAGTCAGTTCCTGGGTGGGGGCCACAAGACCAGATGAGCCAGTTTATCAATCTGAGTGGTTCCAGCTGATCCATTGAGTGCAGGGTCTGCAAAATATCTCAAGCACTAATCTTACATTTTACAGTGATGATATTATCCCCAGGAGCAATTTGGGGATATTTAAAATTTTGCAGCCTCTGGCTGCATGACTCCTAAACCATAATTTCTAATCTTGTGGCTTTAGGCAGTCTAGCTCCTAGGCAGAAAAAGGGGTTTGTTTTGGAAAACGACTGTTAGAGTCTTTGTTTCAAAGCTGTGCTAAAAACTAGTTCTTTCCAAAGTTAGTTCAGCCTATGCCAAAAAATGAACAAAGACAGTTTGGAGGTTAGAAGCAAGATGGAGTCACTTAGGTCATATCTCTTTCACTGTCTCAGTTATAATTTTGCAATTGCAGTTTTATTACTTTAAATGATGACTATAACAGTTTTCATAAATACTTTAAGTAATCTATTAATATAATTAGGTAAATGTACTGGGATAAATACTTGGAAACAAACTTGCCATAATTTAGAATCTAAAGTTGTATTAAATTAAATAATGGAAATTTCATTAATTGGATATTTTCCAATAAAAATACCATGGGCAAATATTCTTTCTAAAAAATGTGTGTCCTTTTTTAAAAGGTGTATGACTTTTTCTCTAATTCAAAGCTTATTTGAAGGTTATGTATAAAACAAGGTGAAAGGAACCAGGATATAAGAGAGATGTAAAGAATGTTACAGAAATAAAGAGGTGTTTTTGGTAAGAAAGCTCAAAGAAAAATAACTTTATATGAGAAAGAATATTGTATGGTAAATTTTGTCCTAAAGTAAATGGTTGTTCAAGAAAGATTGATGTTCAGGACAAGCCAGAAAGTCGAAGCATGTCAAGAATGGTCTGTGTAAGTTGTAGTAAGAGGATTTATATAAAAAAGAGAACCTTTTCTATGATCAAATTGTCTATAATTAAAGGGGAATTATAATGGTCTTTCTATAGCTTGGGTTTTGATTCTTAAAAAACACTTATACACTAAAGAATTGGTTCAAACTACGAACTTTTCTTAAGGCATTGCTTTACTCTTAACAAATTATAAGACATTAAATTTTTTTATACATCAACTTTTATTGCGTCTCACTGTTTTCAGCTTTCTCTCCCCTTTTAAATGGACTGAAATAATAACTCTATTTTTTAATTCGTTTTCAGCTCCTGTGAGTTTTTTTTTTTTTCTTTTGGGGTCTAACTGTAGTGGCCTGATGCTACACAAAAAAAGAAAAAAAGATATGTTTTACCTTTGAGGCCTAAAGGAAATGTTTCCTTTCCACGTAATATTTCCCATAGGGAACAGCAGTCACACTGCAGAAGGTCTATTTTTTGCCTTTGGGTAACTGGCTTAATAAACACATCATAAGCTTTATTGAAATAATTTCTATGTCATAATTACTAAGTTTGATTTGCTTAGAGAAAACTGAGATTCAATTTATTTTTAAGTTAAAGTTATTACATCTGTGCAACTTCCTGTATGTGCTTTTAAAGTTCTGGTGCCATTAAGTTACTGGGCATTCACCCATGGGTCTAAAAAGGACACCAAGTCCTGCTAAATCTGAAAGACTGATAGCAGTTAAAACCTCATTTTCAGACCCAGTAGAAGATGCCCATCAAAATAAACTGTGTTTGTGAGACCCAGAAATTAAAATTATTCAACCACTCAAGGCCCAGGGACTATTACAGAAGAGGTGGTCACGTGAGATTGTAAGGGCCAATTTTGAGAGATAAAATAAGTTCAGTTTCTCCATAAATTAACCATTGATGTTGAATGCATGCTGATGCAAAACCAACATATAGGTCCCCTTGTCAGATTAACAAGATTTTCTTGAAGCATTACCCTACTGGTTAATAAAGGTTATAAAGGTTGCAAAAAGGCTTATGGAAATTATATCTCATGGTCAAGATAATTACAATTTTATATATTGTTTATAAAATGTTGAAAAACAAATTAAATTGGCCTCATGTTGTTTTCATTAGGGCTTATTGTTTGGAAAATTAAGTCTCCTTTTCAAAGAATAAAGATTTTCACTTTTTTTTTAAATGTTTATCACTTTGGTTAAATGAATGATTTATTTTACTATGGCCTGTGATCCTATTTTATGATATCAAGTGTTTTAAACTTTTCATATTTGACAAACTTTCCAAAGTCAAATTCTAACTTTGGTCTTCATTACTATTAGTCCCCTGAAGTCCAAAAGAGACATATTCAGCTTATTTAATATAATAAAATCATACAAGAAGTATTGTCAAATATAAAAGTGTTTACCCTTCTTTGGATTTATAAATGTGTTATTAGTATGTGTTCCAGAATTCTATATTTCTGTGATTCTGACATGTTTTATTGTATGTTAGAAGTAGCAATTATGATTATTATGTAAAATTGCTGTATGCCACAGAAGTAAGTTTCCGTATCAACTCTGACTGTTTTATGACTTTTGTCATCCACAGTTGTTTTACTTTTATTCTTTTCACAAGGTGCTCTTATAATCAGCATGGGACTCTTGACAGGTGCTCTGGAATGCAGGTTTTTGAAGACTATGACACTAAAATAGAGAAAATACTTCTAAGACTCCCATGGAGAGCTGCAATGTTCATGAATATTAGTAGTACAAGAGGTAACTGCATGGTCAGAACTAATAAAAGACAGAAATAATACTTCTATGACTTTTTGGTAAAAACATTGCTGATTATTTCTTTGTTTTTCAGAGCAAAGTAAACTTTTCTTTTCAGCTATTTACAGCTTTTAACAATTGAGTACAGTATACTACTGTAAACAAAATTTGGAGCACATGTCTCTCTACCTAATTTCTCCAAAGTTTGGAAACTAGTTGTGAGTATTCTTAACTTATGGCAATATAGTTATTTGCATAAGTGCAATAAGAATCATTTTTTTGTAGCAGGACACAATTGGAGATACTGGTTATTTTACCAAGGTTTTGACTGGAATGACATGCTATCAGATACAGACTTTTATAAGGAATCAAAGTTGACATAGAGCCAATAAAAGCCCCTTGTGAAAGCTGGCCTCATACCTTGTCTACACATTCCCTGCATAGGTCCCTGAACTGTGCTAAGTAAAGAATGTCACTTTCTGCCAGGCCCAGGAGCCCCACATTTTCTTGGGACTTAGAGGTGAGAAATTCACCCAATCAATATGGGTGTTTGCAGGCACAGGCTGGGCTTAAGGCATTAAAGTCAAACTTGAGATTCCTGAAAGAATAAATTTCCAGCAAAGCTATTTTTTTCAAAGGAGGTACCTATGTGGCAAATAATTATTTTTGCTGACTTTATGCAAATTATCCATCCCAGTATAATAAGACTAAAACTTATTTTGCAATTGAACTTGTTTTTTGATTCATCTCTAGTAAAAAAAATTACTGGAGAGAGTGAAATTACATTTCAAAATAAACTGTAGTACATCTGTTGTTCTAGTGTTATCTAATGTTTTCCAATTTTTATTATTTTCTATGGCTTGGAAATAATTCTAAAATTTTTTCTGGCTACAAGTTTCCAAAATAATGTTTTCATTTTTTTCTTTTTTCTTTCTTTGCCCCGCCCCCATTTTTCCTGATTCAAAACTACTAAAATTTAAGCTGTGCTCTCTTAAAGCCATGGGAACTGAAGCTAGACAACTTAAACTTTAGAAGAGAATAACAGCAAGCTATTAACATACACATGCCACTTTCATACCTGCCTACTGATGTATGGACTTCAGAATAATAAGGGCTGTACTGATTTTCTGAGAAATACTGGCTGATAGTAAGTATAGCTAATAGAAGGATATGTGGGTTGGGGACTACCGGGTGTCAGGGAATTATAATATTGTTTATTGGCCTCAAGTCCTGTACAAATTTTCATCCTCTCCTTTTTTGTTTGTTTCTTTTTTTGTATTACAGAGAATATAGGGCTGTTGCAGGGGCTAGTACAGGGAATAATGAGCCCCTTTTTGAGATAATCTTGTATGATAGTGGCAATTTCATTTATGACTTTCTGTCATCGAGGATATTGTTTATGGTCAGATAGGGGTTTCCTTGCATTTATTTCAATCTTTATTGGAGTGGCTGAGAATATTTTCCCTATGTCTGTATTTGCCTGGGACCATAAGTGAGAGGGGATACCCGTGAGCAAATGCTCTGCTTCTGGGGTTACCAGGAAGATTGGGGAGGCTAAAAGGAGTCTCACCATTCCCTGCTTTTTATTCCAATGTTCTCTCTTCTCCTCTAATATTTACTTTTCTGTCTCCATTTTACTTTGCAAGTCACAAGATGATGTTTTAACATTGCTAGGACTAAATTGTGGTACATTACCAGGATGATTTTAATTTGGTTGTTTTTTTTTTTTTTTTTTGATCTTCTTGTTCCAATTCTAAAAAAAGTTCACTTTTGATGAAAAAGAGGTATGAGCATTATGGATAATGAGGAGATCACAGCTCACAAAATTGACGGGGGCCCTGGGGCATATTAGGAATACATGGAACCTACTGAGTGTGTCACGTTTAGAGCCTTCAGAGGAAAAATAAATCTGATGAAATGGTAAGGTATAGGTTTGGATTTGAAAGATGAGGTAGTTTTATTAAAAACACCCACCATGTTAATCTTTTCATTATTCCAAGGAATGGGGTTTCTAAATAAGGTGGGATTTATAACAGATATAGTTGTTCCTGTGTCATTTAAGGCAGTTGAAAGCTCATGGTTTATTATATTAATCTCTCCCGATTTGTTTTTCAGGGTGGTATATTTGGAGAGGTGAAACCTTTTAACTTCCTTAGAGCCCTCCTAGTCTTTCTGAATTGCACCTTCCTGCTGTTGCTTCTGTTTCAGCCTAAGTCAGTCCCTTTTAAGGTGTCCCAGTCGTTTACATTAGTAAAACACTAGGAGGGAAGAATCCTCAGACCAAGGGAGCTTAACATTTTTCTGAGGGGAAAGGTTTGAGAAATTAATTGCTTAACTATAAATGCATAACTCAGGCAGTCTTTTGTTTTTCCTATTTTAACATAGTGCAGGATAATTGGTCAGTTAAGTTTACTAGTTTATTAGGTCCTGCTGTGGCCCAATTTGTCATGTGGCATTTGACAAGGGTGACTAAATCATGATTTAGTCCATTTTAAAAACTAGTATTTAATAATGTATCTTTATTATTTTCAAAGCAATCAGCTGGCATCTCAAATATTGCCTCTAAGTTATGTCAAAATGTATAACGTAATGTAAAGCTGATTCATTTGGGTTCTGGCAGCATTTGCTGGATTTTATTACAATCCACAACCGTTTGGAACACTGAGGGAATGATATTTAACACAGCAGTAGCTCATTTCTGTGCATCTTTACGCCTGTCTTTTGGAATTTGGGGAGCTGGTTGTTGTGGCTGTGTTGGGTCTTCAGGGGTCAAGTCTGCTAAAGGGTCTGGCCACTGTGCTTTTTCCAGATATTCCTTAGCTTTAGCTTCTGAGACCAACATGTGAACCAGCTGGTAAAGGTCTGAAAGACCTGGGTCATAGGTTCTGATAATCAGCTCAAATTCATGGGCAGCTCAATTGCATCTTTATGGGGCTCAGGAAATTATTTAACTACGTCCCAAAACTCATCCTTTGAACAAGGTTGATAGACAATCGCCAGGGTTCCCTTACCTTTCACCAGTTGTTCTAGAAACAGGGTGATCATGGGAGATTTCACTGCAGGGTCCCCTTCTCTGCATCTTCCAGATGAGAGGCTGCCACTCGGGATACCAGGGAATTAGCAGGAGGTACGATCTTGGAAGTTAGACTCTCTGCTGCCTTCTGTTTAGTGAGTGTCAGACAAGGAGGGGAAGATGGTAGATCGAAACATGCAGAAGAAGGAAGAAACAGAGCTGGTCCAGGAAGCTCAGAGAGATCAGGGTAAAGTGTCGGTGTAAATTGAGGTCGGGAAGGTACCAGGGAAAAAGTAAGGAATTCTGAGGATTTCTTTAAGAGAGATTGGTGTGGTTTGGCTGTGTTCCCACCCATATCTCATCTTGAACTATAGATCCCATAATCCCCATGTGTAGTGGGAGGTACTCAGTGGGAGGTCATTGAATCATGGGGGTGGTTACCTCCATGCTGTTCTCATGATAGTGAGTGAGATCTCACAAATATGATGGTTTTTTAAGGGTCTTTCCCCCAACTTGGTACTGCAATTCTCCTTGCTGCTGCCATGTGAAGAAGGACATATTTGCTTTCCCTTCCACCATGATTATAAGTTTCCTGAGGCTTCCCAAACCCTGTAGAACTGTGAGTCAATTACATCTCTTTTCTTTATAAATTACCCAGTCTCGGGTATATTCTTACAGCAGCACGAGAATGGGCTAATACAGTAAATTGGTACCACAGAGAGTGGTGTGCTGCTGTAAAGATACCTGAAAATGTAGAAGTGACTTTGGAACTGAGTAATAGGCAGAAGGTGAAACCATTTGGAGGACTCAGAAGAACTCAGGAAAATGTGGGAAAGTTTGGAACTTCCTAGAGACTTGGAGGTCTCAGAAGACAGGAAGATGTGGGAAAGTTTGGAACTTCTAGAGATCTGTTGAATGGCTCTGACCAAAATGCTGAGTGATATGGACAATGAAGTCCAGGCTGAGGTGGTCTCAGATGGAGATGAGGAACTTCCTGGGACTGAAGCAAAGGTGATTATTCTTGTTATTCCTTAGCAGAGACTGGTAGCATTTTGCCCCTGTCCTAGAGATCTGTGGAACTTTCAACTTTAGAGAGATGATCTGAAACTGTAACTTATGTTTAAAAGGAAAACAGAGCATAAAAGTTTGGAAAATTTGCAGGTGACAATGTGATAGAACAGAAAAACCCATTTTCTGGGGAGAAATTCAAACAGGCTGCAGAAATCTGCATAAGAAACAAGGAGGCAAATGTTAATCACCAAGACAATGGGGAGAATATCTCCAGGGCATGTCAGAGACCTTCGCAGCAGCTTCTCCCATCACAGGCCCAGAGGCCTAGAAGGAAAAAATGGTTTTGGGAGCAGGGCCCAGGGCCCTCCTGCTCTGTGCAGTCTCACTACATGGTGTCCTGTGTCCCAGCTGCTTCAGCTCAAGCTGTGGCTAAGGGGGGCCAATGTACAGCTCAGGCCATAGCTTCAGAGGGTACAAGCCCCAAGCCATGGCAGCTTCCATGTGGTGTGGAGCCTGCAGGTACACAGAAGTCAAGAATGAAGGTTTAGAAACCTCCACCTAGATTTCAGAGGATATATGGAAATGGCAGGTTGTCCAGGCAGAAGTTTGCTGCAGAGGCATGGGCCTCATGGAGAACATCTGCTAGGGCAGTGCAGAAAGGCAATGTGAGGTTGAAGCCCCCACACAGAGTCCCCACTGGGACTCTGCCTAGTGGAGCTGTGAGAAAAGGGCCACCATCCTCCAGAACCCGGAATTGTAGATCCACCGACAGCTTGCATTGTACACCTGGAAAATTTACAGACACTTGATGTCAGCCTGTGAAAGCAGTTGGGAGGGGGGATGTACCCTGCAAAGCCACAGGGGTGGAGCTGCCCAGTGCTGTGGGAGGCCACCTCTTGCGTCATTGTGATCTGGATGTGAGACATGGAGTTAAAGGAAATCATTCTGGATCTTTAAGGTTTAATGACTGCCTTATTAGATTTTGGATTTGCATGGGGCCTCTAGCCTCTTTGTTTTGGCCAATTTCTCCCATTTGGAGTGGGTGTATTTACCCAATACCTGTACCTCCATTGTTTCTCGGAAGTAATTGACTTGCTTTTGATTTTACAGGCTCATAGGCATTAGGGACTTTCCTTGTCTTGGATGAGACTTTTGGATGTGAAATTTTGAGTTAATGCTGGAATGAATGTGAGACTGTTGGAAGGGCATAATTGTGTTTTGAAATGTGAGGACATGGGATTTGGGAGGGGCCGGGGCAAAATGATATGGTTTGGCTGTGTCTCCACCCAAATCTCGTCTCAAACTGTAGTTCCAATAATCCCCACATGTCATAGGAAGGACCTGGTGAGAGGTAATTGAATCATAGGAGTGGTTACCTCCATGCTGTTCTTGTGATAGTGAGTGAGTTCTCACGAGTTCTAATGGTTTTATAAGGGGCTTCCCCACAACCTGCTTTGTTCTGTACTCCTCCTTGATGCTTCTGTATAAAGAAGGACATGTTTGCTTCCTCTTCTGCCATGATTGTAAGTTTCCTGAGGCCTCCCCAGTCCTGTGGAACTATGACTCAGTTAAGCCTCTTTCCTTTATAAATTACCCTGTCTTGGGTATGTCCTTATAGCAGTGTGAAGATGGAGTGATACAAAGATAAAACATTAGAGAGTTCTTGGTTAACGTTTCTAAGTTATTTGTTGACCTCCTATAATGAAATGAGACCATCTTCCCCCTTGTTGCTACTCTCTAGGTGCCATTTTAAGTAGCTTTCCCATTCTGATTGTTCAGTTTTTATGCCTGCATTGTCTATCCTAGATCACTAATTTGGGCATATCAAAAGATCCCCATCTAGGTTGTTGTAACTTAGAATCCTTTTGTGTATACTGCTCCACTTGATTAAATATTTGCATGACAATTCACCATGAGTATTTTGAATAATCCAGGCCAGAGTTTCTAAAGGTGGAACTATGTGTTCCTCATCTCTGGAAGTTTTAGCCAACTTTGGGGCCTCATTTCCCATAATTTAAAGTTCTCCTTCAGATTTGACCAACTTGGGGGGTATGTCAGACATAAAATGTGCTGTTTGAGGATCTAGCTTTTCAGGGCCATTACTCCCTGGAAAGGTTTGGTCTGCCCATGTTGTGCCTGCCTGGCATAGTATGTCAGGGGGTCAAGGTGCAGGAGGGGTCAGCTCCTTATATGTACCCACTGGCTGAGATTAGACCCTGAGTGTGTTCTTCTGTGGGGGAAACCTACTCAAAGCTTCTGCACTTCTTATGGAGTGTTTCTCCCAGACACCCTCATGTGATCCTCAGTCATCTGAGAATGCCTCTAAAGGCTCAAAGGAACAAAGTGCTTTTATTTCTTTGAAGTGGAAAATTCCATGCTCATAAGCTAGAGGGTTTAGAGTTGGTCAAGTCCAATAAGAGAAGGAGTGAAACATACAAAAACAAAACAAAACAAAAAAGCACAACAAGACAGAAACAAATAAACAAAACAGCAAGCAAAATGAACAATGATCACACAAATTGTACGATTTCTGGGAGCTCTAAATGTAAGGAGAAATTAAGACCAGTAGGTTGTTGACACTAACTTTAATCACTAAAGAGAATTTGCAAGACAGAATCCCAACTCACCTCCTTACCTAGTGTTGGGGCCCAAAGTGATATGCTCTGCTGCTGTGCAGAATCAGACAAGTTCACTTTCCTTGATGAAACCGTGCAAAAAACTCCCCAGAAAAAAAAAAAAAGTTTTTTAACAGCAAATTAAACCTGAGACCCCCAATTAAAAATTTTTGGGAGGTCAGGAATCCCTGGAGGAAGGTTGTCCCAGACCTCAGGAAATCATCCTTTTGGTTCAGGCTATAAAGTGCCCAATTGAGACACAGCACTCATAGGAGAGCTGCCGCAGGTGGGGCCACCTTCACTCAGGATCTCTCCGTGGTTACCAGATGTCAGTAAAGGAAAATGACCAAGGCAAGTCTCAATTATTCTGGGAGGTTTATTTCACAAAGTTAAAGACTCATACCCGAGAGACAGGTCTATGCCTTTCTCCAAAGATTATTTTGAGAGCTTCAATATTTAAAGTGGAAAGGGTGGAATATTGAGAAATACACAATTTTCATGTGAGAGGGGAATAGGAAAAAATAGCCATGCCCTTGTCTGGTTCAGTGATTCTGCATTTTTACATAAGATAATGTAGACAACAGGGCAGAGGAAACAATCAGATAGGCGTTTGTCACAGGTGCGCAGAGGGATGACTTTGAGTTCTGTCCTATGTCCCCACACCTGTGAAGATAAGCTATGAATTTACATTGCCATGGTGAACTTTAACAGAAACACTTTAGGGTGAAGATTTTGGTGCCCACAGGGAGTTTACTTGTGGGCCAGATGTGAGGGAGGTGGCTTTTCGTCTTTGTGACAATCTTATTTAGGAGCCAAAATAGGAAGCAGGTTTTCATGACCCACTTCCCAGCTTAACTTTTCCCTTTGGCTTAGTAAGTTTGGAGTCCCAATATTTCTTTTCCTTTCACAATTGGAAAAAGAAGCAAGCCTACTTTACCTGAGGGCCCACCTTTTATAAATACTTTATCCAGGATAGCTTTCTTTTCACCTTTGGAGTGAGATAAATAAGCCAAAAGGTTAACAGACTTAATTTTTCTTATCAATTCTTTACTTAACTTTTTTTTGCCTTTTATATAGTCCTTTAAAAGTGAGAATAGAAACATTGAAATCTTTTTAGAAGCGTTTGCACATCAGTAGTCATCACTAGATGAGACTAATTAAAGAGCCCTCATTTTTCAATGCAATTTTTAAAGTGCAGTGTTGTTCATTTGGAACGTTCTTTTGTAATTTTAAATTACCTTTAGTAGGATTTTGTGATTTCTGTGTTAGCTGTTCCTGGGGCCTAATACTTATGCATGTACAGATAGGCATGGCTAGAAGGTAAATTACTCATTTCTTCAGAAATTAAGGTTCTGGTTTTTACATTGATTCTTGGATTTGGCTCTCAACTCCCCTTGGTCAATTTAACCAGTGGTTTTTTTTTCCTACCTAAGCGCAGAATTAAAAAAGACAAAAGATATGGGACATGAAAATCCCTACTAATTTATGAGAGCTGAAGTTTGCACCTTCTTAAGTATTACCACTTAATTATAGTTTCTGTCTGATTCAGTCAGACATCTGAGTCCTCCAGCTGGATCCAAGCCAGTTAATTAACAGTTCCAATCTGATCCTTGCCCCAGTCCAGTTTCTGTCATGACTTCTGCACCCAGTTTAGATCACGCATTTGCCCAAACTTGGATAGCTCAAAATGAAAATCCATGCAACTTCAGAATCTCAGAGAGAACTTACCCATGATCGCTAATTGCTGAAAGAGAGCAGTGGACAAAGTGAGTCCTCTAGGTACCATGCTCACTAAGTGCTCCTTGGGGGTAGCTAGAAGCTCTACTTCAGATCCCACTTTGAACAACATCTGTTAAAAGACAAACCTTAGACAAATTTAGCAGCGTTGACTTGAGCAAAAAACAATTTGCAAATCACACAGTCCCTGAACCAGAATAGGTTGAGAGACTCCTGGGATGTGAATTATATTTCGATATTTTTTTTCAATTGTAGGGATTTTCAGAAAGGATTAAAAAATAAAAATCAGTTACATGCTTCCAATAAGTAAGACACTATGAAACACTGCTATGATTACAGTAAATATATGAAAAAAAAGCATGCTATATAAGCAATAAGCATAGAACATTTGAGAGGCTTTTTAATATAAGGTAAAATAGAGTTTATGAGAAAGAGAGTACTACCAGAGAAAAGGAGGAACATTTCATAATGATAATGAGGACAATTAATCAAGAAGACACAACAATAAAAAGTAGGTATGTGCTTAATAACATTAGAGCCTCAAATATATACAGCAAAAATTGACAGAATTACAAAGAGTATTCAAAATTTCCACAAATATTAGGGATTTTTGTATCTCTCTCAGCAATTAATGGAACAACTAGACAAAATATCAGTAAATATATGGAATATCTAAATGATAACACCGATGGCTCTGATCCAACCTTCCATATAGTGGAATACACGTTTCTTTCATGCGCACATGGTATATTCACTAAGACAGACAATATACAGGGCCATAAAACAAATTTCAATAAATTTTTTAAAAATAGAAATTATGCCCAATATATTTTCTCTCCAAAACTGAATCAAAAGATAGGTCAATAATATCAAGATATGTGGAAATTAAACAACATCTTTCTAAGTAATTTATGGGCAAAAATAAAATGGCAAAGGAAATTAGAAAATATTTTGAACAAAAAGATAATAAAAACACAGCATATCAAAGTTGTGAGGCATAGAATAAACAGTGCTTAGAGGAAAGCTTACAGCTTTAAATACTCATATTTGAAAAAATAAAAAATAAAATTGGTGACCTAAGCTTCTACCTTAATATAGTGGGGAAATCATAAACACTGAAATATGATTGAAAAAATATGAGCATATTTCCCTTATATGAAGTAAAATAAACCAAACACTAAGATAAACATCATGTGTTCTTACTTATGGGTGGAATCTAAAAATTAAAAATTCAATGAGTAATTGAACTCATGGACATAGAGAGTAGAAGTATTGTTACCAGAGGCTCCGAAGGGTAGTGGATGAGGTAAGTGGGGATGGTTAATGGTTACAAAAAAAAAAAACAGTTAAAAAGAATGAGTAAGACCTACTATTTGACAGCACAACAGAGTAACTCTAGTCAATAATAATTTAATTGTACATTTAAAAGTAACTAAAAAAGTGTAACTGAATTGTTTATAACCCAAAGGGTACATGTTTGAGGGGGTAGATACCCCATTCATCATAATGTATTATTATTTCACATTGTATGTCTATATCAAAACATCTCATGTACCCCATAAATATGTACACCTACTGTGTGCCCCCAAAAATTAAAAATTTAAGAATATTAGAAATTAAATATATATGAGTAAAGTAAAAGAAAAAAAGGCAGGAAAACCAATAGTAATGACAAGAGCTAAAAATAATATAATATAAAGCACAAAGATAATTTAACAATTGACACAGCCAAGAGCTGGTTATTTGAAAATGTCAACAAAATGGGCAAACTCCTAGCTAGACTGATCATGGAAAAATGTGAGAAAACACAAATCACCAATATCCAAAATAAAGTAAGTGGTTATCACCATAGATCTGTCGACAAAAAGAGTCAAACTCTGTAAAATATTTGAAGAGATTTATTCTGAGCCAAATAGAAGTGACCATGGCCTGTGATACAGGTCTTGGGAGGTCCTGAGAACATGTGCCCAAGGTGGTCAGCGTGCAGGTTGGTTTTATATATTTCAGAAAGGCATGAGACATCAATCAAATACATTTAAGAAACACATTGGTTTGTTCCAAAAAGGCAAGACAACTCGAAGTGGTAGGGGCTTCCAGCTTATAGGTATATTTACAAATTTTCTGGTTGACAATTGGTTGAGTTTATCTAAAGACCTGTGGTCAACAGAAAGGAATGTCTGTGATAAGATAAAGGACTGGGGAGACCAAAGTTCTTAATTGCAGAGGAAATCTTCAGGTAATAGGCTTCAGAGAGAACAGATTGTAAAATGTTTTTTATCAGACTTAAAGTCTGTGTTGATGTTAATGGCAGAGAGCTATAATGAGGCATGTCCAACCCCCCAGCTCATGTCATGGCCTGAACCAGTCTTTCAGGTGAAATGAAATTTTAAGACTGCTCTGGCTGAGGAGGAAGCCCATTCAAATGGTTGGGGGACCTTAGGAATTTATTTTTTGTTTACAGATCTTTCAGATATTAAAAAGATAATAGAATAATATGAGCAACTTTATGGCAACAATTTGATAACTTTGGCAAAATAACCAACATTTTTGAAAAAGACAATTAAGAAAAATTAACAACTTCAGAAACAAAGAACATGAATATCCTCATATCAATTGAGTTTGTAAATTCATAAAGAAATTTGTCATTTATAAAAAATGTATCAAAAACATTGAAAATAACCCTGCTGTTGAATTCTCTCATTCAAGGAAGAAATAATACCAATCTTAAACTTCAGCAGAAAATAGAAGAAGGATCACTTCTCAATCTTTTAGTAAGCAAACATAACTCTAATACCAAACCTTACATAGAATTTTTTTTAAAAAAGAACATTTCAAACCAATATCCCTCATGAATACAGAAACAAAAATTTTCAACAAAGTATGAACAAATAGATAGCAATACATAAAAAGGGTGATGAATCATGACCAAGTAGGGTTTAATTCCAAAAATTCAAGGTTGGTTTAACATTTAAAAACAATCACTGTAACTCATCATACTCAGGGAATAATATTTTATTTTATTTTTTATTAGTAATTTTTGTGGATGTGTAGTATATTTATAGGGTACATCAGATGTTTTGATACGGGCATGCAATGTGAAATAATCACATCATGGAGAATAGGGTATGGATCCCCTCAAGCATTTATCCTTTGAGTTACAAGCAATCCAGTTACACTCTTTTAGTTATTTTAAATGACAATTAAGTCATTATTGACTATACTCACCCTGTAGTGCTATCAAATAGTAGATCTTATTCATTCTTTTCATTTTTTTTTGTTTCTATTAACCACCTCCCCACTTAGCCCCTCACTATCCTTCCCATCTGCTCGTAACCATCCTTCTACTCTCTATGTCCATGAGTTCAATTGTTTTGATTTTCAGATTCCACAAGTAAGTGAGAACATATGACGTTTGTCTTCCTCTGCCTGGCTTATTTCACTTAACATAATCATCTCCAGTTCTATCCATGTTGTTGCAAATGACTGGATCTCATTCTTTTTTCATGGCTGAATAGAACTCAATTGTGTGTGTATGTGCCACATTTTCTTTATCTATTCACCTGTCGATGGACACTTAGGTTGCTTCCAAATTTTAGCTATTGTGAGTAGTGCAACAACAACATGGGAGTGCAGATATCTCTTTGATACACTAATTTCCTTTCTTTTGTGTATATGCCCAACGGTGGGATTGCTGAACTATGTGGTAGCTTTAGGTTTTCGAAGAAACTCCAAACTGTTCCCCATAGTGGTTTTACTAATTTACATTTTCGTGAAAAGTGTATGAGGGTTCCCTTTTCTCCACATTGTCACTACCATTTTTATTGCCTGTCTTTTTGATATAAGCCATTTTAACTGAAGTGTCACAATATATCATTGTAGTTTTGATTTGCATTTTCAGATGATAAAAATTTAAAATACACATTACTTCAACAAGTGCAAATAAATTATTTGACAAAATTTAAAAGCCGCACTCCAGGTAAAATCTCTCACCAAAATAGAAATAGTAGGAACCCCTTCAAACTGAGAGAGGACATCCATGAAAAACTAACAGCCAATATCATGTTTAATGATGGGAAACAGTTTATCCAATGAGATTCTTCTGGCAAGATAAAGAATTTCTGCCATATGGGTTTATTACAGAGAAGGTCAAGAAGAAAACACTGTTTACTATTATTTATTAAGAGCTGACTGAACACTCCAAGATCAATTGCGAACTGTCAGTTTTTTCCTCTTTGCTATACATAAGCTACTTTTGTTTATTAGTATAAATGTATGTATCATACATACACACAAATATAAATAGGTGACAATATTATTTGAATTTTTCAATCTTTAACCTCAAAATATACTCAACCTCATAAGTAACCTTATAAGGGAAGCATACTGCATTTGGTTTTTCATCTAAATTGGAGCTTTACAAAGAGCAAATATAAACAGGTATAAATAAGTAAAAACTTTACATGATGACCTTTGCTATCTCTATCCCTATAAATTTTAATTTATTTAAAATGTTTACATGTCACAAAATTTTTTTTATTAAGTCACAAAATTTTCTTATTAAGTAAGTAAACATAATAGCTTTGGGTCTTGAAGTCATTTGATGGACTTGAAAATTATATTTAAGTTGGTACAGTGGACCAACATAAACATCACTGATATTAATACTTTGTCCAAGTGATAATATATACAAATTTATACCAACAATGAAAGCAGAAATTGTCTGAAATTCATGAAAACCAATAATTGATTAGAAACACAGTAATTATAATTCAATATATTGTATAAGCAATATTCACTTATCTGTCATGAAAAGCAGGGTTGAAATATTTAGAAAGTTTAAATTGATTAGAATTTCTATGAAAAAGACAAACTCAGTCTCCAAAATAATTAAGTATTAGCTTATATAAGCAGATGCTTTGCTACCCCTCATTTATCACCTTGTCCTATCTTGGAGGTCACCACAGAAAGTTACTGTACTTGCAGACAGCATTTTGTGTCTCTGTGCCTGGGATTATTTTCTAGTTACTGGAGCATGTTCAGTTTGTTTGTGGGATCAGCCAGATGTTCTGAGTAGTTAATACTTCAGGGCGTCACTCAGCCAAGAGTGAAGGGAGTTGGTGAATATATTACACCGGTTCTTTGGCTCTCAGTGGGAAAATGAGATGAACTCCCCATTTCTCACTCTCTCGCAGTGTTTCCTGACATCATCTTCCAAATTAACTTCTTGCAGTCAAATTCTGTGACTCAGAGTCTGCTTTTGGAGAGACACAAACTAACATAGATTATATTATCTTCCACAATATATTTAAATCACAGATAATTCATATGTGTTTTTATTTTTTTTATTGTATTTATTTATCTATGGAGACAGAGTCTCGCTTAGTTGCCCAGGCTGGAGTACAGTGATGCAACCTTGGCTCACTGCAAACTTCGCCTCCCGAGTTCAAGCGATTCTCTTGACTCAGCCACCTGAGTAGCTGGGATTACAGGCGTGCGCCACCACGTCTGGCTAATTTTTGTATTTTTAGTAGAGATGGGGGTTTTGCCATGTTGCTCAGGCTGGTCTTGAACTTCTGACCTCAAGTGATCTGCTTGCCTTGGCCTCCCAAAGTGCTGAGATTATAGGCATGAGCCACTGCGCCTGGCCCATATGTGTTTTTAAATCAAAATTATCAAACTAGTCTGATGTGTCTAAGGATTTACCTTGACTAAGAGTATTATATAAGTTTAATTATGATATGGATCCAGATATAATTTTGCATTTACTTACCAAATATTAAAATTGATTCAAAGGCATTTTTGTTAGTAGATTTTTATGATGACTAATTGTTAGCATAATACCTATTTGCATTTTCCTTCTGTTTGATTATAAATCTGTCTTTTGAATTGTTCTCTTGTATTACAGACAAATGACAGACACATGTTCAATTAATCCCCAAAAGTGGCCCCCACGAAGACATTCCCAGATACATAGGGCTACTAACTCAAGTAGACCACTGGAAATGGTGAATTACTTTCCCTCTGTGAGGAGGAGTTAAGTACTTTGTTCGTTCATAGGGCCATAGACACACAAAAAGTAAATATAAATATAAGTACAGCTATACACATTGTCAATAACTTCTGCAGGCAAAACCAGACTAAACAAAAAAAAAGAAGACTCTCTACAAATAAACAGAATTCTGAGACTGTGTATGTTTTCAAACGAATCCACTTTTTAGAAAATACAGGTGTTAATCATTCTTCAGACATAAGAGTTACAGACCACTAGATGACACTAATTCTTCTTTCATCCACTCTAAAATTTGGCAGTCAGAAATCCACAGCATTTCTTAAACAAAAGAAACACCCCTAGATGTCTGCCAATCTAATACTTTACATCATGTTTGACATTTTCCAGACTTTTAGACTCAAACACTGGTAACAAAGCTAGGACATTGTGCTCAAGTCTTCAGTTTTTAAAATGAAAGCCTGGTAGCTGTGGAGTCTTCCAGACTCATCTGCAGAGCACCTCTTGCACCTAAAACAGGACTTTTAGACTTCTTGAAAGATAATCACCAGGTCCCCATGAGTTTCTAACTGGCAGACAGTAATGGCATGTAAAAAGTGTCCAATTTTAAAAATCCAAAATTGCCTAAAACTTTGTCATATGTGATCTCTGAAAATATGCCCCACTTGTTTTTCTCAACTCAAAACACAACAGTTGGTGTCAGTAGCCCTGGAAGAGGGAGATCAGGAATGCTTAAAAGATCCTAAAGGTGCTGTGGGGATCGTCATTGACCAAGGATTGATCTCTGTTCCAGTGGTTCTTTATGTGGTAATCCCATCTATAAAAAATTACCAAAACCTTAAAACATGTATCTCAAATTATTAATAATATAATTCTTACACAAATATGTAATGAGTGGATGTCAAAGTTTTATTCAGTTTATGAATGGAGAAACTAGAAAAGTAACAGAGCTAGCTTCAGAAGCATTTGAGAAATATGGACTTACATAATTACTGAGGACAGAGATGTTGAAATAAATTTGCAGGGTTAAGTACAAAACTGTTCACCATCTTACCAGGCAATAAAATTATAATTTTTGATATTATATTCTCCATTAGACAGAAAAAAGCAATCATTCCATCCTTCAGTGTTCTACAATTTAAGGTGTCATAGAACATCTGGGCCTTGATGATCAGAAAAAGTACATTTCCCGGGAGTGTCAATAACTTTCAATGGGGTCAATTGAAAATGTTCTAACATGCTATTATAAGGTCAGATGTTTATCTTTTTACTTTGTTGTGAAGTTTTGATTTTTTTTTTTTTTTCCTGAAAGATCAGAACAAGTAATTTCTGAAGAATGGTTTGGGAAAGATAAAAGCAGCTCTCAAATACTGTGTAACACACACATCCCCGGCCTAAAACATTGAATCATGAGGAGTGTTGGGATGTTTACTATTAATATTTGAAACGATTTGAAGCTACACCTGTAATTTCATCACACTTATTTGCATTCTAATATACATTCTTTTTTTTTTTTTTTTTTTTTTTGAGATGCAGTCTCGCTCTGTCACCCAGGCTGGAGTGCAGTGGCGCGATCTCGGCTCACTGCAAGCTCCGCCTCCCGGGTTCACGCCATTCTCCTGCCTCAGCCTCCTGAGTAGCTGGGACTACAGACACCCGCCACCAGGCCTGGCTAATTTTTTGTATTTTTAGTAGAGATGGGGTTTCACTGTATCAGCCAGGATGGTCTGGATCTCCTGACCTTGTGATCCACCTGCCTTGGCCTCCCAAAGAGCTGGGATTACAGGCGTGAGCCACCACGCCCGGTCCTAATATGCGTTCTTATGTAGAAGAGAGCACCTGAATCAGAGTCTCTGAGGAGAAAAGCCTGCATCGATAGTTATTTAAAGCTCCCCAAGTAATCCTAGTGTGCAGCCAGGATTAAGAACTGCTGCTCTGTCCAGGTGCGGTGGCTCACGCCTGTAATCCCAGCACTTTGGGAGGCCGAGGCGGGCAGATCACCTGAGGTTGGGAGTTCGAGACCAGCCTGACCATATGGAGAAACCCCATCTCTACTAAAAAATACAAAATTAGCTGGGTGTGGTGGCAGGCGCCTGTAATCCCAGCTACTCGGGAGGCTGAGGCAGGAGAATTGCTTGAACCCGGGAAGCCTAGGTTGCAGTGAGCCAAGATTGCACCATTGCACTCCAGCCTGGGCGACAAGAGTGAAACTCGGTGTCAAAAACAAAAAAGAACTGCTGTTCTAGAATGAAACACTGCTCATTCCAGCATAGCGCGCATCTGCCCCTGATGCCACTCACTCAAAAGCAAGACTAGTTGTAGAAAAGTCCCACCCAAGCCACGGCATTGTTCCTAAGTAGCTGATCTAGTGCATAATCTGTTGCTTCATTCTAAAATATGAATTTGCAATCAAGGTTAACCAGGCATTTGAGAAACGTCTGCAACTTATAAGAAAAAGACTTAAATAAATGAACTGAAGTAAAACAACTCCACACACTGCAAAAATTCAGGAAGAGCTTTTTAAAAATGCCTAATTAGTGATTTCAGTGTACTAGGCAAGATTTTAAGGGAGGAAACCAGTATTGGAGTTTGAATCTCCTGTGTCCCACCACATAAAAATTTTTTCTCATGTAGAGTTAGAGAAGATTAGTAAATTTATAACTTTTGTTCCTAAGTTGACCATGTCCCAAGAGAAACACGCCACCATGCTGATGCTCACTTTGAATACGTGACTGCCAAATTATTAGATTCTGGAAATCATGCTGTCTTTCCCTTAGTTCATTCAGTCTCTCAGTCTCTGGACTTCAGTCCCGTGTTCCTCTTCCTCCTCCTCACGTTCATCTAAGGGCATTGCTATCTTTTTTCACTAAGAAAATTGAAGTAATCAGAATTGAGTTTCTTCAGCTGCCCCACCACATCTATATACCAACCAGCATGTGTACCCATGTTCTCTTCCTTCCTGCCTGTTATTAACTCTTAATTTTTCTGTCTAGCAATACACTAGCCCCATCTTGTTTACCAACTCAAGAACATAGCTGCAGCATTCTCTTCTTTCTTTTCCATTCATTTTCATTTTTAAGGAGCATTACAGTCAGTAAACATCCTTTTCTTGACCCTACATTCCCCTTAAGGTACTGTGCCATCTCTCTGCACTCTTTTAAACCAAAATTCCTTGAAAGAGTTGTCAGCTCTTCCTTTGAACTTCTTCTCCTCCCATTCTTTCCTGTGTTGCCAAAACACCTGGGGTTCGGTATAGAGCCTGCTACTCACTGCACGGAAAGCCAATCACTGAGACAGTGTATATTGCCAGAAAGGAAGGCTTTATTCAGGTGCTGCAACAAGGAGATGGGAGACGAGTCTCAAATGCATTTCCCTGATTGACTAAAATTAGGGGTCTATATAGCAGGGAAGAAATGTAATCCTGTGGGAAAACAGGAATTAGGGAAGGATAAGAAAGAAGAGTTGGTGAACAGCAAGCAGATGGTCACTCAGGCAATCATGATGGCTGAGGGCTCTGGCATCTCGTTTTCCAGGTTCAGTGATCTGGTAAGTTTCAGCTCCTTGATGCTATATGGGAGGCCTGATGGTTGATTTCCAGAGGAAAAAACTCAGATAAAACAATTATATCTTTCTCAAGCTTTAAGACTAGAAGGATCAATTTCTATATTTAGTCAAAGAAGCCATAAACATCAGTTCTTGTGGGACAATTGAACCAGTTTCATTGGAAAACTATAGGCTTTTTCTTACCATTGAAACAGTGCCTTTCACGCCACCACATTGTTAAATTAAATGATTAATTTTTAGTTTTCATTTTGCTTGACCCATCAGCAGCATTTAATAACAATTACTCCTTCCTGCGTTAATTATTTTGTTTACTTGGCTTCAGAAATGCATCTTCCTACCTCATTGTCCATTCTTCTTTGCTGGTTTATTTAATTAAATTAATTTATTTTTAAATTGACAGATAAGATTGTATTTATTGTGTAAAATGATGTTTTAAAGTATATATTCATTGTGGAATGGCTAACTAGTTAATTTACATATGCATTACCTCATACAGTCATCACTTTGTGGAGAGAACAATGAACATCCACACTCTTAGCATTTTTTAAGAATACAATATGTTGTCATAAACTATAATAACCATGCTGTAAAATAGATCTCTGGAACTTATTCCTCCTAACTAAGTCTCTAATTGTAATTTTTTATCCTTTGTCTAACATCTCCCCAACCCCCTTAGGCTCTGGTAACCTCCCTTCTACTCTCTTGTGTGAAGTTTTTTACTGGTTTCTTCTCATTAATCCTACTAATAACCACTAGAGGGCCTTAGGATTTAGTCTTTGGTCTACTTCTCTATTTAACCTCACTACCTTGATGGTCTCAGCTCTCCAGTTTTATATATCTTCTGAAAGGTCCCAGTTTTTCTATACCATAGAAATGACTCCTAAATTAATATCTCCAGCCTGATTTCTCTCCTACACTCCAAACATTCATTTCTAACTATTTACCTGCCTTTTTAAATCTAGGCTATCTAATAAACATCTAAAATTTACCTGAGCTTTTGACCTCTTACACACAACCCACTTACCCTAAGGTTTCCTTATCTCTATAGATGGCAACACTATCCTCCCAGCTGTTCAGAAAAATAACCTTGGAATTCAATGGGAGGAAAAACTTTTCCTCTACTGACTTTGGTACAATAGTTGGGGGCCTCCAAATTTAACTGACAATAGACAGATTAACAGGAGAAAAGTCAAAGTTGAATCATATGCATATGAAACTGCACAAAACAAGTAGCTCACTAACAAATTAGAGATAGAGGTTTAAATACCTAATTTATAAAAAAGAGTAGGGTAGGAAAGGCTTTTATAAGAAGACATGTTTTCTTTAGGAAAGTCAAATGGGACTTTTGAGGAACAAAGGAGAGATACGAGAGTTTGTGGTTGGTAATTTAGGCAGGTACCACTGGCCTTTCTGGCAAGAAAAACGTGAGCGTATTTTTTGCAGTTTCACTCTCCTTCTTCTTCCTGGGAGTGAGGTGGCCCAGAAGAGGGGATTTATAACAGATGTTTTCACCTTCAGTCAGATAGGAGAAGGTCAGATAAAGCTTCTTTCTGCATCTTTTGAATCTCATCCCTAGTTTAAAATGATCTTCATAACAATTTTGGGGGGTCCAAGTGGGTCCCTTCACATCCATAACTCCCTTGTTCTCATATTCCATATCTAATCTGTTAGCAAATCGTGTGTTCCTTATCTTCACAATATATTCAGAATCTGATCAAGTCTCACTAGTATAATCCTGGTCCGCACCAACATTATCTTTCTTCCTAAGTAGTCTCCTTGATTTTATTCACGCCCTACAATCCTCTCACAAGACTATACTCTGCCCATCAGCCAGAACAGCTCTTTTGTAGCATTGGTCAGATCATGTCTTTATCTTTTTACAACCTTCCAATGGTTTTCCTTCTTATTCAGAGTAAAAATAAGCCTCTTGTAAAGGTCTACAAGGCCCTACATGACATTACTGCAAACTGCTTTTTTGCTTCCTATTTCACCCTTCTATCTTAATCTAAGTCACACTAGTTTTCTTGTTACACTTGAGGCTCTTGCTGTTTTCTACACCCTAAATGTTCTTCTGCCAGATAGAATGCCTCTTTCATTTGTTTTCTTTCATTTGCTAATAGACAGTGAAACATATTTTTTCACACAAGAGAAAAATGAAAAGTTCTATAATATATAACAACTCTTAAAAATCAATAAATTAAAAAAACAAAACAACTAAATTGAATAATGAGTGAAGATATAAACAAGGCACTCAGACAAAAAATAAGAAATTGAAAACAATGTTATAAAGTGTGTTCCACCTTTTTTGTAAAGGCCTATGAACGGGAGCGAGTTAAATTTTTAAGTATCATCCATATAATGAAATATTATACATTAAATCTAAGACCTCAAACTGTAAAACTACTAAAACAATGGGGAGATTTTCCAGGACATTGAACCGGGCAAAGAGTTTTTGAGTAATATCCCACAAGTCCAGGCAACCAAAGCAAAGATGAACACGTGGGATCACATCAAGTTAAAAAGCTTCTGCAGAGCAAAGCATACAATCAACCAAGCGAAGAGACAACCCGCAGAATGATAGAAAATATATGCAAACTACCCATCTGACAAGAAATTAATAACCAGAATATATAAGGAGCTCAAACAACTCTATAGGAAAAAGTCTAATAGTCCATTTAGTCAAATAATGTAGATCTGTCTATACCTACATGGAAATATCTTCATGATATATTATTAGCCAAATAAACAGTGGCAGAAGAACATATAAATTATGAATTTATCTTAATAATGCTTAAGTGTATGTTTGTATTGTGCATCACATTATGTTACTCTGAGTTTTTTTCTATGACAATGTGAAATAGCAGGGTTCTTTTGATAGGTGCACTTGTGAGATTAGATTGCGTTCTGTGCTCTGGTGATGAGTCCTTGGGCCTATCATTTTGCTAGGAGGAAGTGTTATCAATTTTTACATACTTGGAATTTATATCTTACATATTTTTAAAAATACTTGTGGAAGCTTATAATGAAAATACTTTAAACAGCTAAATACTTTTAAAAAATGAATAGAGTAAGGGGGAAAGGTCAGAACAATATAGAGGTAAAAGGTATAAAGTTGCACTTATATTTACACAAAATTATTCTGTTTATTTCTGTATTTCTAAATTTTACTTATTGTTTTTTTTTTTTTAGAGGGAGTCTCACTCTGTTGCCCAGCCTGGAGTGCAGGGGCATGATCTCGGCTCACTGCAACCTCCACCTCTTGGGTTCAAGCGATTCTCCTGCCTCAGCCTCCTGAGTAGCTGAGATTTCAGGCACTCGCCACCACTTCAGGCTAATTTTTGTATTTTATTAGAGACAGGGTTTTACCTTGTTAGCCAGGCTGATCCCAAACTCCTGACCTCAAGTGATCCGCCCACCTCAGCCTCCCAAAGTGCTGGGATTACAGGTGTGAGGCACCGCACCTGGCCTTATTCAGTGTATTTTTGAGCTTCCTGTAAACCAAGACAAAACAGGATATAAATTTAAAAATAGAAAAAAAGGCCAGGCGTGGTGGCTCACACCTGCAATTGCAGCACGTTGGGAAGCTGAGGCGGGCGTATCACGAGGTCAGGAGATCAAGACCATCCTGGCAAACACGGTGAAACCCCGTCTCTACTAAAAATACAAAAAAAAAAAAATAGCTGGGCGTGGTGGCGGGTGCCTGTAGTCCCAGCTACTGGGGAGGCTGAGGCAGGAGAATGGCATGAACCCAGGAGGCGGAGCTTGCAGTGAGCCGAGGTCTTGCCACTGGTCTCCAGCCTGGGTGACAGTGAGACTCCGTCTCAAAAAAAAAAAAAGAAAAGAGAAAAAAAAAGAAATCTTGACAGCTTGTCTACCCCAGCAGAGTTGCGAGCCACAATTGTAAGAATGGAAGTAAAGATGCTTTACACAATATAAAGTGCCATATAAATGTAAGGTACTGTTTCTACCTAGTCACTCATCTTTTTTCTTAGGGAAACTTCTAAACAGGCCTTCCTCTGGCCTGAATTACCCTTTGTGGACAAAATACAGTAAAGAAAGTTTTTCTAGAGTTTCTTGCACTTGGTCTTATAGCTACTTACCATTCTGCCTTTGCAGAAGTGCTCTTTTAATCAGTAGCTGTATTATGTCCAATTATGTCAGAAACAAATTAGCACATTAAATAAAAAGTTCTTGAGGAAGACATAAGTGATTTGTATAGCCACTTAAATGAATCTAATTTATAGATGAAGTTTGTCAAGTTTAAAAATTATTCACAAACCAACTGTTGTTCTTGACAGTTAAAATACTTATACCATGTAGTTAATACGGTGGTGCTTGTGACTTCATTTCTGGTTGGTATGCTTAGATAAGTTGGCAACATTTGAGGCTATCGATTATAAAATTCAATCAGTAGAAGAGGCAACCCAGTTAAATCTTGACTTGATTATTAGCCATTTTTTTCCAAAATGAGGCTCCCAGGAGGTATTCTACAGTTTTAAAAAGAACGTATTAAATGATGATTGAAGCAGTTAAGAGCTCTTCTTTAAACTGTGTACAAACTCATTAGAAAAAGTTTGCCTGAATAGCATAGTTTCTGGAGATAATCTGGCTGATTAAAATCCCTTTTCTCCCATTTACCAGCTGTGCATCATCATAAGCAAAGGCCTTAGTAATTCAGTGACTCAGTTTCCTCCTACGTAAAATTGATACAGCAACAGTACCTACCTTAAAGAGTTGTGAAAATCAAATGAGGTAATACCTATAATGGGCTTAGAATGATAATTTGGCTTCTAACATTCAAAAAATGTTAGCTAGTAGTAATTGTAGTATCACATAGATCAGAATGCCATAGTCTGTGCTGCAGAATCCTCTCTCTCGGTGTAGGTGACTAGGAAATGCTATTTTATCTGCTTTGTGTCAGAACAGTTTCTCCAAAGAAAGCTCACCAAGGAAGCAGGCACCTGGAGTTGGTTTGCAGAATACTACTGTACAAAGAAAGGGTGAGAAGAGTTAGAGAGGTTTCTTCAAGAAACCAGAAATGACATAAAAATCATTTTGTCCACAGGATGGGCATCAAACTTAAAATGAGAGGCAAAGGCATAGGTTAAGAGCCAGGCAGAGGTAAAGTGAAACAGAGACAAAATTGGGAATTATGAGATAGACCTTACTATTCTTTAAAAAGCATTCAGCTCTTCTTCATTATCCTTGGTTTGCCAATATGAGATCCAAGCCTGAATGAATTAGGTTGGCTTAAAAAGTATAGGGCTAAGTCTGTTTCTTCGGATGGATGTCCTGTACACTTTTGTTTAATGGAAAAACAGAATGGTAATTCAGATTGTTAGGAAAGTTAGGACAAAAAGTGTTTATTTAAGGATCAGGAAATTTCAGTATGCTTTTAGGCAAAAAGAAAAGCAGTTAATAAACAGGGATTCAAAAATGCCAGAAAAAGAGGGATAACTGTTAGAGTATGATTCTAAAAGGAGCGGGAATGAACGTGTTTCAGTTAACAGATGGAGATAAAAGTCTTAGAATGGCAGAAGAACTGCTCTTGCTTTGAATTTGTTAGAAAGAATTTTAAAAGTGAATTAACATATAGGAAGGTTTTGAATTAAAGTGAAAAAATGAAAGAGACTGCTCTTGTGGGCACAGAGGGAAAGCTTCCTTTTTGTCCTTCATATGTTTGCTGAAGAATCAACTCACAAAAGTCAGCTTAATAGGGGAAATGACATACAGATTTATTAGCATGTATGAAGGGAAATATCGCAGTGATTACCCCACCACAAACGAGATGGGGTAAAGGTAATTATATACCCTTCTCCTAAGGTCAAAAAGAGATGGGGGAGTGTGGATGATTTTAGCGGGGGTAGTACATAATTTTTAAGGGAATTCAATGAGCTTGGAGAACCGTAGTCTGAGACAAAGTCTGTTGGGTCTGCAGAGCAGACAATGGTTTGCGACAAAAGTCTGTCCAAGTGTGTTAACAGACTTCAGTCTTTCTTCCTGCAATATAAGTTCAGTTAAAGAAAACTCAGGGAAGGGCTTCGAGGCAATTGTTTTCTTCTTTAGCAGGTCCAGGCTTTAGAAAGATAGGGGAACATCAGAGAAAAAAACTTTATCCTGTCCTTGGGGAAAGACAGAGGATTGAGCAACTGTGGTTGTTGACAGGGGGCAAGATCAGAGAGACCTTGAGGCTTCCTCAGTTTACCATGTCAAAGTGCTATATTTTGAGGTAAGGTACTGGTTTCTGAGCCCCAATGCCTTGGATAGACTCCATCTAAATAAGTAAGCAGCAATATCTGTGCCTTCTAGTGACCTGGGAGGAGAGTGAAGAGGTTTGAACAACAGCTGTGAGGAATGTGATAGGAAGTCAACGTGAGATAAGGAAAAGGATGAAGGATTTCTGAGAATCGAGAAATACTTAGTTGAAATTAAACAGCATGAGTGCAGTGTGGATGCAGTCAAGCTTCCAGTGGAATTAATGTTTTTCTCCAATTCAGTATTTTGCAGTGGTTTGCACTTATTTGCAGTTTTTCATCTGGCTCATACAGAAAGAAGTTTAGTAAATCATTGTAAGAGTTTAAAATCCCAAGGAAAGGATAAAGTAAAACTGAGGGTGAAAATGAGAGTCCATGAGGGGAAAAGTTTAAGAATGAAAGTAAAAGAGGAATTAAACATCTTAAAGACTTTTTTTTGGCTTTCATTAAAAGTTTAGTTCATTCAGTGTTACTAATGATAAGTACTTCTACTCTTTCGATTTTGTTATTTGTTTTCTGGTTGTTTTGTGGTCTTCTCTTCCTTCTTTCTTTCCTTTCTGTCTTTTTTTAGTAAAGGTAATTTTCTCTGGTGATATTACTTAGTTGTCTGCTTTTTATTTTTTGTTTCTTCATTGTATGGTTTTTGGTTTCAGGTTACCATGAGGCTTGTCAATACTATCTTATAACCTATTATTTTAACCTGATAACACTGTTTGTGTAAACAAACAAACAGGAAACTAATAAAAACTTTACCCCTACATTTTGTGTCCTCACCTTTAATCATTTTTTTCTATTTATATCTTATTGTACTATGTCTTGAAAAGTTGTTGCAATTATTATTTTTGAATGATTCATTATTTAGTCTTTCTACTTAGGATAAGAGTGCTTTGTATACCACAGTAACGGTGTTATAATATTCTGTGTTTTTCTGTGTACTTATTATAATCAATGAGTTTTGTACCTTCAGGAGATTACTATTGCTTTCTAATGTCCTTTTCTACTCCCTTCAGCATTTTTTGTAGGACAGGTCTGGTGTTGATGAAATTTCTCAGCTTTTGTTTGTCTGGGAATATCTTTATTTCCCCTTCATGTTTTCAAGTCAGTGATGGCAATAGAAATAAGAAAAAGTTTTCTGGAGAAGCTGAAATCTTAAGTCTGACCTTAACAATTAAAGTTTATATGGTTAGCTAGGAGAACGAATGAAAGAAATTTAAGTAAAAGTCTGTGAGAATGTAGTTGGAGAAAGAACCCAACCTCAAAACACCTAATGTTATAACTTAACTAACATTAGGTGTTAAGTTATAACATTCTTGTAAACGTACTTATGCCATTGTATTTCTTGGTAAGTGAACAATAAAACTGTCTATTTAGTTCCCCAAGACAGAAACTAGGAGTTCTTCCCATTTATTTTCTCTGTAATATTTCTTGCATTCTGTCAATTGAAAGTCTTGGTTCTAGTATATGCTCTTGACTCTCCATCTTTGCCCTAGTGAAGACACTATAATATTCATCATCTAGGCCAGGGATTGGCAAACCATGGCACATAGGAAAAATCTAGTCCCCGACTTGTTTTATATGGCCAGCAAACCAAAGATAATATTTATATTTTCAAGTGGTTAAGCAAAAATTCTGAAAAAGAATATTTAATTATACATCAAATCAAATCAAATTGAAAGTTTTATGTCCATAAATAAAGTTTTATTGAAATATAGCCATGCTCATTCATATTAATTTTGGGGCAACACAAACATTCAGTCTATAGTAAATGCCATCAAGTCATATCTACTTGGATATTACATTTTGACAGTCATCATATCCAAAATGAAATCTCTTATTTTCTCAAAAAAAAAAAGGTTATTTTTTTCTTTTCTTTTTTTTTTTTTTTTCCTTTCCAACCAGAGCTTTCAGGGCAGGACTGCTGCATCAATGGGTCCAGAAAGTGGAACCTCTACGCCAGTGGGTTTGGAGGGCAGAATGTGGAACTAACAAGGGTTATTGTCAAGCCTTAAGATAAGGAGTTTGCCTTGTAGTTTGGACTTACTTGTGGTCCATAGCCTCTTCTTTCCTGTTTCTCCCTTCTGAAATGAAAATATGTATTCTAAGCCTGTCCCACCACTGTAATTTGGAAGCACATAACTTGTTTGGTTTCACAGGTTTACAGCTGGAGAACAATTTGTCTCAGGATTAATCATACATTGACTCTCATCCATTTCTAATTAAATAATATTTAGATGAGACTTTTGATTTTATACCCTAGAGTTAATGATGAAATAAGATTTGGGGTCTGTTGGGATAAAATAAATGTATTTTGCATATAAGAAGGACATGAATTTGTGGGGACTAGGAGTGAAGTGCTGTAGACTGAATGCATCTTCCCAAAGTTTATATGTTGAAATCCTAATCCCCAATGTGATGGTAATAAAAAGTGAGGCCTTTGGTAGGCTGTTAGGTCATAGGGTAGAGCCCTCATGAATGGGTTTAGTGTTATTCTAAAAGAGATCCCAGAGAGATAACTCACCCTTTCTACCATGTGAGGACTCAGAGAAGAAGGCAGTCTATGGACCAGGAAGTGGGTCTTCACTAAACACATAATCTATAGATGCCTGAATCTTAGACTTCCCAGCCTCTAGAGCTATGAAAAATAAATGTCTTTTGTTTTGAACCCAGCCAGCCTATTTTTTTTGTTATAACATTCTGAATAGATTAAGATAGTATCCAAAATCATAAGACTGAATCATGAATAAGAGACTAAGTGTATGAATTTAATGGGAACAAGAAATATATCTGTCTTATACCTAGTTATGATATTCAGTGCTTAGCACAGAGAGTGTCATACACTAGGCTAGTGAGTCTCAACCACGGCACAGAATGAAAAGCATCTGTGAATATTTTTTGTTTGTTTGTATTTATTTTAATAGAGTTCTCTAGGTCCCACACAAGCCTCAATGAGTGAACATTTTCAACTGTGGCTCTCAGAGGTTTCTAGATATTAAAAACTCCACAGATAATTATAATGTATGAAATTCAAAATCATTCTAATTGGCATTCAGCAAATATTTATTGAATAAGTGAATGACTAAATTCATTCATTCATAGTGCCACTAGAATCTGGTAAGAGGAAAAGGTTTTTTTGTGATGTAGCTGTAATGTGAGAGTGTGAATCTAGAGGGAAAGAATGACAAGAGCTGTAATAACAGGCATAAAATACCAGCCAAAATAAGTGAAAGAGAAGAGAGAAGTTTTCAATGGAAACCTCTTTTCCTCATATACTATGTTTTTAGAGGAAAATATAACCTAAAAATTAGCTATATGGGTCTTCCTTTTGACTTATAGTAGGTCAGACCATAGGATGTAAATGGAGCATCATCATTCCATCATTTTTACTGTAGACTCCATTTAAATGGCTCACTTTCTGTTCATGAGTCTAATGCAACATATTTATTATTTGAATGGTAGAATAGGTATCTTCAACTTAATATCTGTAATCTATTCCAGAAAATCAAACATTCATCATTAAAACACTAACCAGAAGCCTATTTCCCAGTTTTTTTCTTATCATATTTTATTTTTTAATACTTAACTATTTTAAAGTAAACACAGATATCTTCACATTCAATCTTTACTTAATTGTACAACTCTTAAAACTAAAAACATGGCCGGGCACGGCGGCTCATGCCTCTAATCCTAGCACTTTGGTAGGCCAAGGCGGGCGGATTGCCTGAGCTCAGGGGTTTGAGACCAGCCTGGGCAACATGGTGAAGCCCCGTCTCTACTAAAATACGAAAAATTAGCTGGGCATGGAGGTGTGCCCAGCGACTCGGGAGGCTGAGGCAGGAGAATCACTTGAACCTGGGAGCGGAAGTTGCAGTGAGCAGAGATCGCGCCACTGCACTCCAGCCTGGGCGACAGAGCGAGACTCTGTCTCAAAAAAAAAAAAACAAAAAACAAAAACTAACACTATAATATCTAAACTTTAATAATAATTTTCTAGCATCATCTAATCCTCAGTTTTCAAATGTACCAATTTTTGCAAGAAAAAAATCTTTACATCCAGGATCTTATTCAAGGCCATGTATTTCATCTGCATACTATCTTTCTTAATTCCTTTTAATACTAGAGCAATCCCTTTTTAATGAGACCAAATAGCTGAAGAAATCAGGGTCACATTGTACATGCCAACTCTTTAATTTATTTGGTTGTTTTATTGAGGTGTTTATGTTTTTCCTTTGCATGTTAAGCAGTTTGTTGTGGTAAAACTGCCATACGTTAAACAGCATATATTTAACTTGCAAAATTTGATGCCCTTTGATGTAAATATATATTCATAAAACCATAAACACAATCAAGATAATAAACATATTCATTATCACCAAAATATTTCTCACATGCCTTTGTTATTCCTCTCTCTTACCAATCTCTGACACTGTCTGGGTGCCCAGCAACCCATGACAAACATGCTTTTTGTCACCATGGATTAGTTTGTGTTTTTTTAGAGTTTTTATATAAATACAATCATGTATTATATACCATCTTTAGTGGAGTTTCTTTTATTGGGCCTAATTGTTTGTGGAGATCCATTCACCATTGTTTCTAACAATAGTTAATTGATATTCATTGCAGAGTGGTATACTAATGCATATGTAATGATTTGTTTATTGACCTGATGATATACATTAGGTTTTTTCCAGTTTTTGACTATTATAGATAAAACTGCTATGAGCATTTGGGTAAGAAATCAGTTTGTGGACATATGTTTTTATTTCTCTTGGGTAGTTAGCTAGAAGATAAATTTATGAATCATACACTAGTTGCATGTTTAATGTTTTCAAAAACCACTAAGCTGTTTTGCAAAGAGGCTGTACCATTTGACGTTGCCACCTGCAGTATATGAGAGCCCTATTTGCTCTAAATACCTACCAAATACTTTAAGTTTTTTTTTTTTTTTTAATTTCGGACATTCTAGAGGAGTGTAGGGGTATCTCAACATGTTTTTGTTTCACATGTCCAAAATGACTAATGATGTTGAATATCTTTCTATGTGCTTATTTCATGTCTGTATTTCTTAATTAAACTTTCTGCTCAAATGTTTGCCCATTTTGATTGGGTTGTTTATATTCTAATGTTTATATAGCATAGATACAAGTATTGTGTTGGATATTTGTGTAAATTTTTTTCTCAGTATTTGGTTTGCCTTTTGATTTTTATAACAGTATCTTTGAAAGAAAAAAATGTTTTTTATGTTGATGAATTTCAATGTATTGATTTTTATAAAGTTATTTATTGAATTTTATGTAACTTTAAATTTGCATTTTTAGTTGACAAAAAGTTTTTTGTGTTGTATTTTAAAAATCTGTGGCAAATGCAAAGTGACTAAAATTTTCTCCTTGTTTTCTTCTAGAAATTTTATACTGTTAACTTTTATAGACTTATGAGTCATTTTAATTAGTTTGAGTACATGGTGGGATATAATGGTTGAGGTTCATTTATTTTTTCATGTAGCAATCCAATTTTCTCAGCATCGTTTTTTGAAAATATTAATATTTCCCCACGGAATAGTCTTGGCATCTTTGATGAAAGTCAATTGATCGTGTACATGTGGGTCCAGCACTGTACTCATTATTCTGTTCTATTTATATATGTCAAAGTGTATATCAGTACTACATTGTCTTGATTAATTTACCTTTATGTTATATATCGATATCAGGTAATATTATTTCTTTAACTTCTTATCCCATTTTAAAATTATTTTGGCCAGTCTAGGCTCTGTAAATTTCCATACAAATTTCATATTCAGCTCCAAAATTTTTCTAAAAGGATGCTGGAATTTTGACTGAGATTCTATTACATTTATGGGTCAATTTTGGAAGCAATGGCATTTTAACATCTCCAAATCTTTCAATCCATGATCATAGTTTACCTCTCTATTTAATATGTCTTCTTTATGCTTGCTTCATGGATTTCAAGGCATAGGTCTTGCATATCTTTTGTCAAATTTATCTCCAAATGTTTAAGATTTTTGTGCCATTGTTAATAGTTTCACTTTTAAAATTTCAACTTTTAATTTTTCACTCCTTGTTCATAGAAATGCAATTGACTTTTGTATATTGACATTTTATTCTGCAAACTTGCTAAACTGATTTTCATGCTAACGTGCGTATATTCTTTAGGATTTACTATAAACATGATCATATTATCTGAAAAGGAAGACAGTTATACTTCTTCCTTTGCAGTCTTTATGTCTTTTATTTCTTATTTTAGTCTGATCTTATAGCAAGATTCCAGTATAAAGTTGAATAGAACTAGTGACAGTAGGCATTCTTATCTTGTATTTTTTTTAATCTTCTGGTTAATTAAATTAGATTTTGCCAGAGAAAACAGAACACAGAACAAACAGAATGTGTGTGTAAGGTTGTGCCTCTGTGTGTGTGTGTGTGTGTGTATGTGTACTGATTGGGAAAATGATTGATCATTTTAGAAAATTGTCTCCTATTGTGGGGGCTGGTAAGTAAAAAATCTGCACAGAAAGCCAGCAGGTTAAAAATACTGGCTGGAGCTGATGTTACAGATGGATTCCAAAGGCAGTCTGGAGGTAGAGTTCCTTCTTTTTAGAGAGACCACAGTCTTTTTTCTTTTAAGGCCTTCAATTGATTGGATGAGCCCCACCCATATTATGGAGGGTCATCTGCTTTTCTCAAAGTCTACTGATTTAAATGTCAATCGCATCTAAATACTTTCAGTAGGGCACAGTGGCTCACGCTTATAATCCTAGCATTTGGGGAGGCCAAGGAGGGCAGATAGCTTGAGTTCAACAGTTTGAGACCAGCCTGGGCACAAGGCAAAACCCCTTCTCTACAAAAAATACAAAAATTAGTGAGTGATGGTGGCACACACCTGTGGTCTCAGCTACTTGAGAAGCCAAGGTGGGAGAAATGCTTGAACGCAGTAGGTGGAGGCTGCAGTAAGCTGAGATCATGCCACTGCACTCCAGCTTGGGAAACAGAGCAAGACCCCATCTCAAAAATAAACAAATAAATAAATAAATTAATTTTAAAAAAAACTTTGATAGCAACATCTAAACTACTGTTTGACCAAAAACCTAGGCACCATAGCCTAACCAATTTGACACATTAAATTAAGCGTTTCATTTTAAAATATGATATTAACTGCAGGTTTTTGTTTTTTTTTAATATATAGATGCTGTTTACCAGTTTGAAGGAAGTTTCTGTCAAGTTCCTACAACTTTCTGAGAGTTTGTTCCAGGAATGTATGTTGGATTTTGCTATACGGTTTGTACTCATATTTTTATATGTTCATGCAGTTTTTCTTCTTTAGTCTGTCAGTATGGTGATTTACGTTTACCAATTTTTAAATATTAAGCAAACTTTATATACCTTCGCCCATTCCTATGTCCAGGATTGTATTGCCTAGGTTGTCTTCTAGGGTTTTTATAGTTTTGGGTTTTACATTTAAGTTTTTAATCTCTCTTGAGTTGATTTTTGTGTATGCTGTAAGAAAGGGGCCCAGTTTCAATCTTTGGCGTATGGCTAGCTTTTTATCTCAGCAGCATTTATTGAATACAAAATTCTTTCTCTGTTGCTTGTTATTTCAGCTTTTTCAAAGATCAGATGGTTGTAGGTGTGCAACCTTAGTGCTGGGCTCCCTATTCTGTTCCCTTTGTCTATGTGCCTATTTTTGCACTAGTACCATGCTGTTTTGGTTACTGTAGCCCTGTAATATAGTTTGAAGTCAGGTAACATAATGCCTCCAGCATTGTTCTTTTTACATAGGATTGTCTTGACTATTTGGGCTTTTTTTTTTTCCTTTGATTCCATATGAATTTAAAAATTTTTTTTCTAGTTCTTTGAAGAATGTCATTGATAGTTTGATAGAAATAGCACTGAATTTAAAAATTGCTTTGGGTAGTATGACCATGTTAATGATATTGAGTCTTCCTATCCCTGAACATGGAATGTCTTCCTTATTTTTGTGTGTCATCTCTGATGTCTTTGAGCAGTGTTCTGTAATTCTCATTGTAGAGATCTTTTACCTGTCTGGTTAGCTGTATTCCTAGGCATTTTATTCCTTTTGTGGTTATTGTAAGTGAGATTGCATTCCTTATTTGCTCTCAGCTTGGCTGTTGTTACTATATAGGAATGCTAGTGATTTTTGTATGTCAATTTTGTATCCTGAAATTTTCTTGAAGTTATTCATCAGCTTAAGGAGTTTTGGGGCCAACACGATGGGGTTTTCTAGATACAGAATCATCTTATCTGCAAACTGAAATAGTTTGATTTTCTCACTTTCTATTTAGATGTCCTTTATTTCTTTCTCTTGCCTGATTGCTCTGGCCAGGACTTCCAATACTACGTTGAATAGGAGTGGAGAGAGATGGCATTTTTGCTTGTGATGGTTTTCAAGGGGATTGCTTCCAGGTTTTACTCATTCAGTATGATGTTGGCTGTGGATTTGCCATAGATGGCTCCTATTTTATATTATGGTCCTTCAATACGTAGTTCATCAAGTTTTTAACATGAAGTGATGTTGAATTTTATTGAAAGCCTTTTCTGCATCCATTTAGATAATCAAGTGGTTTTTGTCTTTAGTTCTGTTTATGTGATGGATCATGTTTATTTATTTATGTATGTTGAACCAACATTGTATTTCAAGGATAAAGCCTACTTGCTCATGATGGATTAGGTTTTTGATGTGCTGCTGGATTCAGTTTGCCAGTATTTTGTTAAGGATTTTTGCATCAATGTTCATCATGGTTATTGGCCTGAAGTTTTTTTGTGTGTGTGTCTCTGCCAAGTTTTGATATCAGGATGATGCTGGCCTCAGAATGAGTAGGGGAGGAGTCCCTTCTCTTCAATTTTTTGGAATAGCTTTAGTAGAGATGGTATCAGCTCTCTTTGTACATCTGGTAGAATTAAGCTGTGAATTTATCTGTTTTAGAACTTTTCTTGGTTTGTAGGCTATTTATTACTGATTCAATTTCAGAGCTCATTATTGGTCTGTTCAAAAGAGGAATTTCTTTCTGGTTCAGTTTTGGGAGGTTGTATGTGTCCAGGATTTTATTCATCTTGTCTAGGTTTTCTAGTTTGTATGCATAGAGGTATTCAGGGTAGTCTCTGATGGTTGTTTGTGTTTCTGTGGGGTTAGAGGTAACATACCCTATGCCATTTTTAATTGTGTTTCTTTGAATCCTCTCTTCTTTCTTTATTAGTCTACCTAGCATTCTATCTATTTTCATTTTTATTTCAGAAAAGCAAATCCTAAATTCATTGATCTTTTGAAATTTTTGTTTGTTTTGACCTCTGTCAGTTTAGTTCTGAGTTTGATTATTTTTTGTCTTCTGTTAGCTTTGGGTTCTGTTTGCTCTCGATTTTCTAGTTCTCATGGTTGTGATGTTAGGTCATTAAATTGAGATCTTTCCAACTTTTGGTTGTGAGCATTTAGTGCTATAAATCCCCTCTCTTAATACTGCTTTAGCTGTGTCCCAGAGATTCTGGTATTTTGTATCTTTGTTCTCATTAGTTTCAAGAAACTTCTTGATTTCTGCCTTAATTTCATTATTTATGCAAAAGTCATTCAGTAACATGTAGTTTAATTTTCGTGTAATTGTATGGTGTTAAGCAATTTTTTTAGCCTTGATGTGTATTTCTATTGCACTGTGCTACAAGAGTGTGTTTGGCATGATTTCATTTTTTTTTCATTTGCTGAGAATTGTTTTTTTCTCTGATTGTGTGGTCAATTTTAGTGTGTGTGCCATATGGCAACGAGTAGAATGTATATTCTGTTGTTTTTGTCTGGAGAGTTCTGTAGATGTCTCATGTCTATTTGATGAAATGTCAAGTTCAGTTACTGAATATCTTTGTTAAATTTTTGCCTCAGTGATGTGTCTAATACTGTCAGTGGAATGTCGAAGTCTCCCACTATTATTGTGTGGGAGCCTATGTCTCTTTGTAGGTCTCTAAGAACTTGCTTTATAAACTTGTGCTCTTGTGTTGGGTGCAGGTATATTTAGGATAGTTTTGTCTTTTTGTTGAGTTTAACCACTTACCATTAAGTATAGCCCTTCTTTGTAATTTTTGATCTTTGAGGTTTAAAGTCTGTTTTGTCTGAAATTATGATTGCAACTCCTGCTTTTTTTCTGATTTTCATTTGCTTGGTAGATTTTCCCCCATCCTTTTATTTTGAGCCTATGGATGTCATTGCATGTGAAATGGGTCTCTTGAACACAGCTTACCACTAGGTCTTTCTTTTCATCCAGCTTGCCACTGTGTGCCTTATAAATAGGGAATTTAGCCCCTTTACATTCAAGGTTAGTATTGATAAGCGTGGATTTGATTCTGTCATTGTACTGTTAGCTGATTATTATGCTGTCTTGATTTTGTGGTTGCTTTATAGTGTCTATGGTCTGAGTATTGAAGTGTGTTTTTGTATTGGCTGCTAGTGGTTATTTCTTTCTATATTTAATGCTCCTTTCAAGATCTCTTGTAAGGTGGGTCTGGTGGTAAAACACCCCCTTAGTATTTGTTTATCTGAAAGGGATCTTATTTCTCCTTTAGTTAGGAAGCTTAATTTTACTGCATACAGAATTTTGGTTTGAATATTTTTTTTCTTTACAAATGTTAAATACAGACCACCAATCTTCTCTGGCTTATAGGGTTTCTGCTGAGAAGTCCATTGTTAGCCTGATGGGGTTCCCTTTGTAGGTGACCTGCGCCTTCTGTCTAGCTGTCTTTAATATTCTTTTTCTCATTTTCACCTTGGGAATTCTGATGATTATGTATTTTGACAATAATCTTGTATAGAATCTTACAGAGGTTCTTGATATTTCCTGAGTATGATTGCTGGCCTCTCTACCAAGGTTGGGGAGGTTTTCATGGATGATATACTGAAATATGTTTTCCAAGTTGTTTGCTTTCTCTCCATCCCTTTCAGGGATGTAAATGATTAGTAGATTTGGCCTCTTTACATAATCCCATATTTTTCAGAGATTTTATTCGTTCCTTTTTATTCTTTTTTTTTTAATTTTAATATGGCTGTCTCATTTAAGAAAGCTAGTCTTCAAGTTCTGAGATTCTTAGCTTGGTCTATTCTCCTTTTAGTACTTGTGATTGCATTGTGAACTTCTTGTAGTGTGTTTTTCAGTTTTGTCAGATCAGTTAGGTACTTTTTTATACTGGCTATATCATCTGTAAACTCCTGCATTATTTTATTATGATTCTTAGTTTCCTTGGATTGGGTTTTACTGTTCTTCTAAATCTTGATGACCTTCATTCCTATCCACATTCTGAATTGTAGTCCTGTCATTTTAGCCAATTCTTCCCAGTTAAGGGAGAACTACTGTGGTTGTTTGGAGGACATAAGACACTCTGGCCATTTGAGTTGCTGGAGTTCTTGTGTTGGTTCTTACTTATCTGCATGTAGCTGTTCCTGTAACTGCTGGGCTGCCTCTGATTGAAGTGGTCAGGTGGTAGCAGGGTGGTTGTGCTAGAGTCCCAGGTTGTGCATCCCTGCCCCATGAGGGGAAGTGTGGACTAGGGTCTGCATGGAGAACAACCTGACTACTTTTCTGTGAGGTGGGTGCTCTGTGCTGGAGATCTGGACCAGCCCCTGGTCACCATGGACCCTCCAGAGCCTGGCCACGGCAAGGACAATGGCTGCAAGGTAGCAAAGATGGCAACCCACTCTTCCACTGGGAACTTTGTACCAGGGAATGTCAGAGCTGCTACTGGCTTGATAGCCCCAGCAGGGTGTGGCTGGAGACTCATGCCAGGAGGACCCACCCACTGAGGAGATATGAATTAACAACCCATGTAACAAACAGTGTGGCCACTTTTCCATAGGGCTGCTGCAATTTCCTGGGCTGCACTCCAGTCCCTAGTCACTTTGGATTCTCCAGAACATGCAGTTATCAACAGTGAAGCCTGTAAAACAGCAAAGATGGTGGCATTCCCCTCCCTCTGGGAGGTCCATCAGGGAGATACTGACCTGTTGCCAGCCTGAACACACCAGTGGGGCTGGTTGTAAACTTCAGATAGAAGATCCTACCCAGTGAAAAGAAATGAAGGATTCACATGAAAAAGCAGACTGGCTGCTTCTGCATAGAGCTGCTGCAGAACGGTGCTGGGGGATAGCTCCAGTCCCTAGTTGCCTTGGACTCTGTAGAGCCTGAAGGTAAAAATGGCTAAGGCTGTGAAACAGCAAAGATGGTGGCTCATCCCTTCCCTTGGAAGTTCCATCTCACAGAGGCTAAGAAGCACTGCCAGCTGTAAAACACTGGCGAGGGTGCCTGGTGACCTTGGTGGTGAGGTCCTGCATAGTGAGGAGAAGCAGATTCATGGAACTATGTTAAAAAAAAAAAAAAAGGAGTGGCTGCACTGAAGTAAACAACAGCTAAGGCCATGAAACAGCAAGGATGGCAGCCTGCCCTCACCCGGGGAGCTCCATCTCAGGAAGGTGTAACACTGCTACCAGTGGCTGGCTGGAGTTCCAAGCCAGTGGGTCTTATCCTGCTATGTGCCATAGCAGGGCCTATAGACTGTCGCTTCTCAGCCCCCTAGATTCATCCCCCTGCCTAGGGGGTATGTGCAGTGGCCTAACATCCTGCTCTGCTGAAGGTGCAGTTTCTTTTGCCAGGAAGCTCAGATACATAAAGCTCTGAGGGCTCCACATGGGCCTGAATGGCTGCTGCACTGAGATTCCATGTAGCTCTGCAAGTCAGACTGCAGGCCCTGATGGAGTGGGTTCATGAGGGGATCTCTTGACCTGAGGGTTGCAAAGATCTATGGGAGAAGTGTAGGTCCCCAGGTTCGTTCACTCACTCTCTGCTTCCCTAGGTTGGGGAGGCTCCCCGGGCTCCATGTTGCTCCTGGGTGGGTGGTCATTCTGCCTTGCTTTTCTCCATTCTTTGTGGGTTGAGTTGGTTTCTTGATGAATCCCAATATATGTACCTGGATGTTTCAGTTGAAGGTGATGTATTTACTTGTTCCTCCTATTTCTCCCCATGAGAGAGGCACACACTAGCTACTTCTTAGTCAGCCATCTTGGCCAGCCTCATAATTATACTTTTAATGTCTGTACCATTATATAATTATATCCCTTCTCTTATTCCTGACATTGGTAATTTACTCTTTCTCTCTCTCTGTCTCTCTCTCCTAATTTATTTTTCTGAACAATATGATTCATCTCCCTAAAGAATCGGCTTTGGATTTTATTGATTTTCCTTTATTGTTTTTCTATTTTGTATCTCATTAATTTCTGCTCTTATGTTTTTTGTTTCCTTTCTTTTGCTTATGTTGGATTCAATTTGCTTTTATTTTTATGCATATTAAGGTGATAGCTGAGTTACATCAATATGAAACCTTTCTTCTTTACTAATAAGAGTGTTTATTGCCACAAATTTTCCTTTAAGCACTGTTTCAGCTGTACCCAATCGAATTTAATAATTTGTATTTTCATTTTATTTAGTTCAAAATAGTTTCTACTTACTTTTATGATTTATTCATTGGCTTATGTATTATTCAAAGTTGTGTACTTTATTTCTAAACATCTGGAGATTTTCCATATAAATCTGTTATTGATTTCTATTTTAAATCCATACTGGTCTGAGAAAATACTTCATATGACCTAAACCTTATATATGTATTGTGACTTTTAAATGATACATGATATTATGTATCTTAGTAAATGTTATAGTTACACTTGAAAAGATGAAATATTAATAAGTAAGTAAATATTACCTAATATTACCTAGAAGAGCTATTTGTAGAGTCAGGCTCTCAGCAATCTTATCTTTTTTTTGGTTAGAATATTGATTGAGGCTTGTAGAGGTTAGTGAATGGGTACAAAAAGTATCTAAGATACTGTAGCAAGCAAGAAAATTTCAATGATGTTTAAGGAAAGAAGAAAGGTCAACATTAGCTCAGCATTGTAGGGAGTTAGACTCTAGGTTTGAGTTAAAGTTGTAAAGAAAATAGTAAAGGACATAATCAGAAACCATTATTACCTGGAACAGTGAAATTTAGTTGAAAATATTAGGGTGAATGATTCAGCATTAAGGCTGTTAAAAATGTAAGCATATTGTGACCCTGTTTCTGTACTGCTGACTATATAGCCCATATTCCTTCCCAACAGGTTAAGAGTTCAATCAGTAACTTTTACTAATCAACTTATATACATAAGACACTTTGCCAGATATTATAGATACATACATAAGGTCAAACATGGGACGTCTGGTTCTATTAATCGTTCCTACAAATAAGGACAATGAAAACCATCACTACTTTCATCCTTGTAAGAGCAAAAAAACCTGAATGATATGGTTTGGCTGTGTCCCCACCCAAAATTCATCTTGAATTGTAGCTCCCATAATTCCCACATGTGGTAGGAGGCACCCAGTGGGAGGTAATTGAATCATGGGGGCAGATTTTTTCCTTGCTGTTCTCATGATGGTGACTAAGTCTCATGAGATCTGATGGTTTTATACAAGGGAGTCCCCCTGCACACACTCTCTTGCCTGCCGCCATGTAAGACGTGACTTTGCTTTTCCTTTGCCTTCTGCCATGATTGTGAGGCCTCCCTAGCCATGCTGAACTGTGAGTCAATTAAACCTCTTTCCTTTATAAATTACCCAGTCTTGGGTATGGTTTTGTTAGCAGTGTGAGAACAGACTAATACACTGAACAAACTGAAAATAAGTTATCTTGTACCCATCAGATAACAGCTTGTAGGGCAAACTTCTACACCAAAATCTGGAGTGATAGGTGAATCCATAGAGTTACAGCTAAGATAAACTTACCTCAAGAAAGTTGCTGGAGCTATAAACTGTTAGAAACACTTAAATGATAATTATTATGAATTTCTGGGGGCTGAATGTGGAGTAGTATGACAGTGAGATACTGCTGGGGGCCACACTCTTAGGGGTTCCCCACATTTTATAGGGCTTCACCTCTTAGAATTTCACCAGGTTCACATGGTAAATATCTGAGAAAGAGTCCCTTCTGGCTCTTGCAGAGGAGAGAAAGAACAGTAATTCTGAAATACTCAGAAATTCTGAAATGCTCAGGGCATTCTCTACAACAGAATCCTCCTCTGCAAGGGAAAAGATTCTTATCATACTGGGGGAGGAAAATTTTCCCATGCTACACCCCTTCCCTCCAGTCAGCATCCTGTATTACTTAATAGTAGAAAACTCTAAAATAACATTTTTGAATGTCATAGCCCACTAAAAGATTGAGATTTAATCATATAATAAATGAAATGCTTTCCCACCCCCATACCTTACCACTACACCAACAGAGCTTTAATAGTAGATTGAAACAGAAAGAGTAGCAAAACACAGAATCTCTGTGAGAAAGAATTTTTAAGAAAGCCAAAGACAACAAATAAGATGAAAGAAAAAATGCCATTGGAAAAATTTGAAGCCTCTGGCACCTACATGTATAGGAAACTTTAACATCTAGTTAGATTAACATACAATATCACATTATCAGCTTATCTATCTCAGTTCCCTTTACCTGAAATTTCATGGCCAGCTTTCAACCAAAAAAGTTACAAAGCATGCTGAAAGGCAAGAAAAAGTACATTCTGAAGAAAGTAAGAAAGCATCAATATCAGACTCATATATGACACTGATGGTAAAATTATCAGAAAGATCATTAAAAATAACTCTGATATACGTTTTAAGAACTGTAATGAAAAAATAAGAAAAAATGCAAGCACATATAGGTAATATAAGCAAAAAGAAATCCTAAAATAGACCAAAATAAAATGTTATAAAATGTTAGCTATAATGTAATCACAACCTTTAGAAAATAAAATGTTAGAAATGGAAAAAAAAAAAAAAAAAAACAGGCTGGGCACGGTGGCTCATGCCTGTAATCCCAGCACTTTGGGAAGCCGAGGTGGGCAGATCACCTGAGGTCAGGGGTTTGAGACCAGCCTAGTCAACATGGTAAAACCCTGTCTCTGCTGAAAATACAAAAATTAGGCAGGCGTGGTGGCGGGTGACTGTAATCCCAACAACTCAGGAGGCTGAGGCAGGAGAATCGCTTGAACCTGGGAGGCGGAGTTTGCAGTCAGCCGAGATTGTACCACTGCACTCCAGCCTGGGTTACACAGTGAGACTCCATCTCAAAAAGAAAAAAAAATGAAAAACATTTTTGATGAGCTTATCAGTACAGCCAAAAAAAAAAAGTGAACTTGAGGATGCATCAAGAGAAACATTCAATTTTGATGCTGAAACAGAAACTTGCAAATAAAGGAAAAATGTTCAAAAAAGTGCAGAATAGAAAATCCAAGAACTTTGGGACATTTTTAAATGTTATAACATACATATAATTGAAATCTTGAAAGGAAAAACAAACCAAAGCAGAATTAATAAGGACTGAGTACTTTCCAAAATTAATTATGGTACAAAACTACAAATCCATAAAACTCAGAGAACACTAACCAGAATAAATAGCCTAACAATTTACACTTAGGGTTGTGATTTTTAAGCTATAAAAAATAAGAAATTCTTAAAAGAAGGTAGAGAGAAAGGGATGGAAGAAGGCATGGAGGAAGGGGGAGAGAGAGAGCCAGAAAGACAACCAGAGAGAGAGAGAGAGAGAACAAAACACCTAGACAGGAAAATATATCAAAATTCTAACAAAATTATCATCAGAAAACATAAATTGCAGATGAAGTAAAATATTTAAAATGTTGAAAAAAATACCAGTCTAGAATTCTATATCTAATGAAATTACTCTTCAAAAATGAAGGAAAATAAAGACATTTTTCAGACAAACAAAAATTGAGAAAATTGCCAGCAGAACTACCCTGCAAGCAATCTTAAGAGATTTTCTACAGGCAAAACAAGAATATTATAAGACAGAAACTTGGATCTACATAAAGAAATAAAGAGTATCGGAGAAGACATATATAAATATAAAATATTTTATTGTTTTAATTGATTATAAGACAATTGTTTGAAGTAATAACTGTGAGATGTATTGGGTGATTATTGCATGTGAATAAATAAGTTACAGCAGCTTCATAATGGAAGTTATAAGTTCCTAGCCTACATAAGTCAGTTTAATGTTATTTGAAAATCGAATTAGATTAGTTAAAAATGTATACTTTAAACCCTGGAACAACTATTAACATTTTAAAGATGTATAATTGACTTGCTAAAGAAAGTGATATAATCTTACAAAAAAAGAAAGAAAAGGAGAAAAACTCTCCGGCAATAAAAAAGGTGTTACAAACATGACTGATAAATTCAAATATATCAATAATGACTTCAATATGATAGTCCTAATACACTAATTAAAAGGCAGAGATTCTGCCATTGCCATTGCTGTGGTATTGCCTTTGCTTCTGCAAACTACGAAAGGAGCAAAGACCCTGAGTGCTTTAGCCACACTTCCGGCAAGCTGCAGATGCCCTAAGGAGAAGAGGCCAGTGTGTCTCCCCCATGACCCACCTGCTCCCTCAGATTATTACAAGGCAGAGTCTCCCCGGCTTAGAACTACATCACAGCTGCCCAATCCTGGATAATTGCACTGACTGATAGCAGTGCTGTATTTCTCTGAGGTAGAGCCTCAAGAGACAAGTGAAAGGCCCTCTGCCCAACCAGTCCTAAGGTCTCTTCCACTGCTGCCTCCAAATGGGGGAGGCAACAAAAAGCCTCAGCTAGTCCCAGAGCTGGAGTGTGTAGCCTAGGAATTCCAAGCCAAGATTTGAAGCCAGCATTCAAGTGGGAGAGGAGCCTATACTTTCAGAGCACTGAGAGGAAGCATGGCTACAACCGTGAGGAAATACAGAAGAGCCACATGACTGAGCAAGAACCTACCTACTGGCCATTACACTTAATTACCATCTAGTAGATCACAGCCTAAACTTCAATTCCAGAAGTACTTTGCTAATATAACCCCCTGTGAAACCAAAAAACAAAACTTTAGCCAGTAATAAAGACCCTGCAGAAAGCCTCAGCCTGCTGAAAACATCAAGAAAAGAAGTCTACTGGCTGTACTCAAATTACACCACAGTTAAAGGAACATCAGTCCACACAGATGAGAAAGAACCAGCATAAGAAGTCTAAAAATCAAAAAGCCAGAGTGTCTTCTTTCTGCCTAACAACCACACTAGTTTCTCAGTAGGGCTTCTTATCTAGTCTGAAATGGCTGAAATGACAGAAATATAATTCAGAATATGGATAGGAATAAAGATTATTGGCATTCAGGAGAAAGCCAAACCCCAATTCAAGAAATCTAAAGATTATAATAAAGTGATACAGGAGCTGAGATATAAAATGGCCATTATCAGAAAGAACCAAGCTGATCTGAGAGAGCTGAAAAACACACTACAAGAGATTCATAATGCAATTGCAAATATTAATAGCAGAATAGGTGGAGAGGAAAGACTCTCAGAGCTCAAAGACTGGTTCTCTGAACTAACTCAGTCAGACCAAAAAAAAGAGAAAAAGACTTTAAAAACTAACCAAACCTCTGAGAAATATGGGATTATGTGAAGAGATCAAATGTATGACTCATTTGTTTCCCTGAAAAAGATGGGAAGAAAGCAAGCAACTTGAAAACATATTTTAGGATCTCACCCATGAGAAATTCCCCAACCTCCCTAGAGAGGTCAACATTCAAATTCTGGAAATGCAGAGGACCCCTGTGAGATACTATGCAATATGACCATTCCCAAGACACGTAGTCATTAGATTGTTCAAAGTAAAAATTAAAGAAAAATTATTGAAGGCAGCTAGAGAGAAAGGGCAGGTCACCTACAAAGGGAACCCCATTAGGCTAACAGCAGACTTTTCAGCAGAAAACCTGCAAGCCAGAAGGTATTGATTATTATTAAAGAAAATAATTTCCAACCAAGAATTTTATATCCAGTCAAGCTAAGCTTCATAAGTGAAGAGGAAATAAGGCCTTTTTTTTCAGACAAGCTGAGGGAATTCATTACCACCAGACCTGCCTTACGAGAGGTCTTGAAAGGAGTGCTAAATGTAGAAAGGAAAGATCGTTACCAGCCACTACAAAAATACACTTAAATATGTAGACCGGTGACACTTTGAAGCAGCTACACAAATGAGACTGAATAATAACCAGCTAACAACACAATGACAGGGTCAAATCCACATATATCAATATTAGCTATGAATTTAAACAGGATAAATGTCCCAATTAAAAGGGAGTGTGGCAAATTTGATAAAGAAGCAAGACCTATTTGTTTGCTGTCTTCAAGATACCCAGCTCACATGCAATGACACCCATAGGTTCACAAAAAAAGGGATGAAGAAAAATCTGCCAAACACAAAACAGACAAAAACAAGAGTTTGTATTCTAATTTTAGGCAAAACAGACTTTAAACCAACAAATATCAAAAACACAAAGAAGGGAATTACATAATGGTAAAGGATTCAATTTACCATGAAGATCTAACTGACTATACGAAATATATGCAAACTCAACATACGAGCACCTAGATTCATAAAGCAAGTTCTTAGAGACCTATGAAGAGACTTGAAATTCCACAAAATAAAAGTAAAAGACTTCAACATCTCATTGACAGAATTATACAGATCATTAAGGAAGAAAATTAAAGATATTTAGGAACTGAACTCATCACTTAAGTAAATGGACCTAATATACATCTACAGAATTCTCCATCCCCCCAAAAATAACATACATTCCTCTCATTAACACATGGCACGTACTCTAAACTCAACCACACAGTCATACAGAACAATTCTAAGCAAAGTAAAAGAGCAGCAACAACAACAACAACAACAAAAAACCCAAAAAACAAAATCATACCAAGGACACTCTTAGACCACAGTGCAATACAAGTGGAAAGCAATGCTATGAAAATCTCTCAAAACCATGCAATTACATAGAAATCAAACAACCTGTTCCTGAATGACTTTTGTAATAATACGATTAAGGCAGAAGTCAAGAAATTATTAGAAACTAATGAGAAAGAAGCAAGAGACCAGAATCTTTGGGATGTGGCTAAAGCAGTGTTAAGAGGGAGGTTTATATAACTAATCACCCACATCAAAATGTTACAAAGGTCTTAAGTTATAAACCTAACATCACAACTACAGGAGCTAGAGGACCAAGACCAAATGAACCCCAAAGCTAGAAGAAAAAAAGAAATAACAAAAAAACAGAGCTGAGATGAAGAAAACTGAGATGAGAAAAACCATGCCAAAGGTCAAGAAATACAGGGTTTGGATTTTTGAAGAAAATTAATAAGATAGAGAAACTGCTAGCTAGACTAACAAAGAAAAAAGGAGAGAATATCCATGTAAAGACAACCAGAAGTGATAAAGGGGACATTACCACTGACCTCACAGAAATACAGAAAACTCTCAGAGACTAAACACCTCTATACACACAAACTAGAAAATCTAGAAGAAATAGATACATTCCTGGATGCATGGAATCTCCCAAGACTGAACCAGAAAGAAATTCAATCATGAACATAACAATAACAAGTTCTGAAATTGAATCTGTAATAAAAAGAAATGAACAACAATAAAAAAGCCTAGGAGAAATTAGTTCAAACTAAATTCTACCAGATGTATAAAGAAGAGCTGATACCATTCTTACCGAAAATATTCCAAAGAATTAAGGAGACAAGACTCCTCATGAGCTCATTCTATGGGGCCAGCATTAGTCTGATACTAAAACTCGGCAGAAGCACAAGAAAAGAGACAACTTCAGGCTAATCCCCTTGATGAAGATACATGCAAATATATTCAACAAAACGCTGGCAAACTGAATCCAGCAGCACGTCAAAAAGCTTATCCACCACAATCAAGCAGGCTTTATCACTGAGATGCAAGTTTGGTTAAACATACACGAATCAATAAATGTGATTCAACATGAAGAAAACTAAAAACAAAAACCATATGACCATCTTAATAGATGCATAAGGGCTTTTGATAAAATTCAACATTCTTTTATATTAAAAATCCTCAATAAAGTAGGCATTGAAGGAACATACTTCAAAATAACAAGAGCCGTTTATGAAAACCCACAGTCAACATCATGCTGAATTGGCAAAAGCCAAAAGCATTCCCCTTGAAAACTGGTACAAGAAAGGGCTGCTGTCTCCCACCATTTCTATTCAACACAGTATTGGATGTCCGGTCCAGAGCAATCAGGCAAGAGAAAGAAATAAAAAGCATCCAAGCAGGAAGAGAGGAAGTCAAACTATCCCTGTTTTCAGAAGACATAACTGTATACTTAGGAAACCTCATAGTCTCAGCCTGAGAGCTCCTTCAGGTGATAAACAACTTCAGCAATATTTTAGAATACAAAATCAACATACACAAACACCAACATCCCTATGCACCAATAGCCAAGCCAGGAGCCAAATCAGGAATGCAATTCAATTTACACTAGCTACAGTAAAAATAAAATACACAGGAATACAGCTAACCAGGGAGGTGAAAGATCTCTACAAGAACTATAAAACACTGCTCAAAAAACCAGAGATGATACAAAAAAATGGAAGAACATTCCATGATGATGAATACAAAGAATCAATATTGTTAAAATGGCCATACTTCCCAAAACAATTTACAGGTTCAAGCTATTTCTTTCGAACTACCAAAGACATTCTTCACAAAATTAGAAAAAGTCTTTAAAAATTCATATGGAATCAAATAAGAGCCTGAAACGCCAAGGCAATCCTAAGGAAAAAGAAGAAAGCTGGAGGAATCACATTATGTGACTTTAAAGTACACTGCAGGGCTACAGTAACCAAAAGAGAATGCTACTGGTACAGAAACAGACACACAGACCAATAGAACAAAATAGAGAGCCGAGAAATAGTGGAACATGCCTATGTCATGCCTATGACCATTGAACCATTGACAAAGCAACAAACAAGCAATGGGGAAAGGTCTCCCAATTCCATAAATAGTGCTAGGATAACTGGCTAACCTTATGCGAAAGATTGAATTTGGACCCCTTTCCTACACCACATACAAAAGTCAATTCAAGATGGATTAATTACTTAAATGCAAAACCTAAAACTATTAAAAACCCTGGAAGATAATCTAGGAAATACCCTTCTGGACATAGGACCTGGCAAAGATTTCATGACAAAGATGCCAAAAAAGCAATTTTAACAAAAAAGAAAATTGCAAAATGGGACCTAATCATCTAAAGAGCTTTTGCACTGCAAAATGAACTATGAATAGCTCAAACAGACTTTGTACAGAATGAGAGAAAATGTTTGCAAACTATGCATCTGACAAAGGTCTAACATCGAGAAACTATCAGAAACTTAAATTTACCAGCAATAAACAAAAACGAATAACCCCATTAAACAGTGTGCAAATGGCATGAACAGACGCTTTTTGAAAGAAGACATACATGCAGCCAACAAGCATATGAAAAAATCCTTAATGTCATTAATCATTAGAGAAATAGAAATCAAACCCACAATAAGACACCATCTCACACCAGTCAGAATGGCTATTATTAAAGAGCCTAGAAATAACAGATGACGGCAAGGTGGTGAAGAAAAGGGAACAGCTTATACATTGCTGGTGGATATGTAAATGAGTTTAGCCATTGGGAATGCAGTGTGGTGATTCGTGAAACAACTTAAAAGACACTTAACATTTTACCCAGCAATCTTATTATTGGGTATAATACCCAAAGGAATATAAATCATTGTGCTATTAAGACATAGACACAGTTTTTTTTGAAGCATTGTGCGTAATAGCAAATACATGGAATCAGAATAAATGCCCATCCATGGTAGAGTGGGTAAAAAAGGTGACACATATACATAATGGAATTCTATGCAACCCTAAAAGAGAATGAAATCACATTCTTTGCAGCAACATGGATGAAACTGGAGGCCATTATCCTACGCAAGTTAACACAGGAACAGAAAACTGAATACTGCATGTTCTCCATTATAAGTGGGAGCTAAACAACAAGAACACGTGGACACCAAGAGGGGAAAAACAGACATCGATGCCTACTTGAGGGTGGAGTGTGGGAGAAAGGAAATGATACAAAACAACCTGTCAGGTACTATACTTATTACCTGGGTAATGAAATAATCTTTACTCCAAACCCCCGTGACATGCAATTTACTTATATAAAAAAACTGCATTTATTTCTGAACTTAAAAAAAGGCAGAGATTGTCAGAATGGATAAAAAATGATTAAATTATATGCTTCCTACAATAAACCAATGTTAAATACAAAGACATGGAAGGATAGTTGAAAAATAAAGGAATGAATTAAGCTACACCATTTGAACCCTAATCAAAATAAAACGTGAGTAGCTATATACATTTCACACAAATAATATTTAAAAAAATTGTCAAGGTAAAGACAGGCATTACTTGGTAATATAGGCATTAATTTTCTAAGAGATAAACACATTTGCATTCTAACTACTATTATATTTGGAAACTTTAGAATCCACTGTCAATAATTTATAGATCAATCAGGCAAAAATCTAAGTATATAGTTAGATGACCTATACAGCACTAGCACTCAACTTGATCTGATTGACATTTATATGGAATATGAAATACTCCATTCAGCATCAGTTGAATACACGTTCTTCTGAAGTCACACAGAATGTCCACCAAGGTGGAGCACATTGTAGACCACTCTCTTAGTCAGCTCAGGCTGCTCTAACAAAATACCGTAAACTCGGTGGCTTAAACACAAACTTATTTTTCACAGTTCTGAAGCTTGGGAAGTCCAAAATCAAAGTGTTGGCCAATTCTATTCCTGAAGATAGCCTTCTTCTTGGTTTAAAGATAGACCCCTTCTTGCTTATCATCAGATGGTGAAGTCTCTTTCTGTTATTGTAAAGACATTACCCTCATCATGAGAGCCTCATCCTAATGACTTAATGTAACTCTAATCCTAATTAATCACCAAAGTCTTCATCTCCAAATACCCTCATATTAGGGGATAGGCTTTAACATATGAATTTTGGGGCAACACAAAAATTTATTTCATAGCCATAAAACACCCCTTTACAGATTTAAAGTAATATAAATTATACAAAGTATGTGCACAAAACACAATGAAATTAAAATAGAAACCAATATAGATATCTAAAAAAATTTTTTAAAATACTCAGATTAAACAACACACTTTTAAATAATACCACAACGAGATACCATCTCACACCAGTTAGAATGGCAATCATTAAAAAGTCAGGAAACAACAGGTGCTGGAGAGGATGTGGAGAAATAGGAACACTTTTACACTGTTGGTGGGACTGTAAACTAGTTCAACCATTGTGAAAGTCGGTGTGGCGATTCCTCAGGGATCTAGAACTAGAAATACCATTTGACCCAGCCATCCCATTACTGGGTATATACCCAAAGGACTATAAATCATGATGCTATAAAGACACATGCACACGTATGTTTATTGCGGCACTATTCACAATAGCAAAGACTTGGAACCAACCCAAATGTCCAACAATGATAGACTGGATTAAGAAAATGTGGCACATAGACATCATGGAATACTATGCAGCCATAAAAAATGATGAGTTCATGTCCTTTGTAGGGACATGGATGAAATTGGAAATCATCATTCTCAGTAAACTATCTCAAGGACAAAAAACTAAACACCGCATGTTCTCACTCATAGGTGGGAATTGAACAATGAGAACACATGGACACAGGAAGGGGAACATCACACTCTGGGGACTGTTGTGGGGTCAGGGGAGGGGGGAGGGATAGCATTAGGAGATATACCTAATGCTAAATGACGAGTTAATGGGTGCAGCACACCAGCATGGCACATGTATACATATGTAACTAACCTGCACATTGTGCACATGTAGCCTAAAACTTAAAGTATAATAATAATAAAATAAAATAAATAAATAAAAGTAAAAAATAAATAAATAATACGTAGATGAAAGAGGAAATCTCAAGTTTTTTTAAAAAATCAAACTAAATGAATATGAAAATACAACTTATCCAAACTTGTGGGATTCAGCAGATACATTGGATAAAGGGAAATTTATAGCACTGAAATGCATGTACTACAAAGGAAGATACATCTAAATAAGTAATCTCAACTTTCACCTTAGGAATCTAAAGAAAAGCAGTTTAAGTCTGAAGCAAACAGAAGAAAAGAAATAAAAATTAGAGAGGAACTCAATAACATTGAAAGTAGGAACAATAGAAAAAATCAGTGCAACAAAAAAATAGTTATTTGAAAAGATGAATGTAACTGATACACTAGCTAGCCTCACCAAGAAAAAAAAGATATAATTATCAATATTAGAAATTAAGGAGAGGTCATCACTACTGATCTCATGGGCATTAAAATGATGTCAAGGGAAAATTATGACAACTCTGTGTGTTTGAGAACTTTGGTAAAATATGCTTATCCATTGGAAGACACAAACTCCCTAAACTCATACCAGAAGAAATAGATCACATGACTAGCCCAATATTTATTAAATAAATTGAAATAAAAATTAATAGCCTCACGAAAGAGAAAGCACCAGGCCAAGATAGATTCACTAGTGAGTTCTATTAGGTTGGTGAAAAAGTAATTTAATGGAAAAAATAGCAATTACTTTTGCACCAACCTAGTAATAAGCTTTTAAGGAATAATTAATATTATTTACAATCTCTTTCAGAAAACAGAGGCGGAAGTACTACATCCTAACTAATTCTGTAAGACCAGCACAGGTTTTATATTCATGTTATACTAATATACTATAGAAATGAGATAAAGATGTTGAAAGGAAGGAAAACTATTGATCAATGTTTTTCATAAATAGACCCGAAAACCTCCAACAAAATATTAATAAATCAAATCCCAGAATATATAAGAGGATGATAGACTGCAACTAAGTGTGATTTATTCCATCATGCAAGGCTGATTATGCAAATCATTCAGTGTAGTCCATCATATCAACAAAGTAAAGATACAAAATTATGTAATCATATAAATTGAGGCAGAAAAAATAATCTGACAAAATGTAATATACATGCATGGTAAAAACTTATCAAATTTCCTCAACTTGATAAATAGAAAAACAGCTACAGCTAATAGAGAGATTGGACACTTTTCCCATAAGATCTGGAACAAGGCAAGGCAAGGAACATTATACTAGAAGATCTCAGTAGTGAGATAAGAGAAGAAAAGAACGAAATAAAGGTATACATATTAGAAATGCATAAATAAAACTATCTGTATTTGCTTATGACATAACTATATGTGTCTAAAATTCCAATCAACAAAAAAACTTCTGGAATTTATATAACAAAGCGACAGGATATAAGATTAATGCACAAAAGTCAGTTTATTTTATATCAGCAGCAAACAATTGGAATTTGAAATAAAAATATCATTTGTAATGGCACCACAAAATGAAATATTTAGGTATAAATATGATGGCATATTTGTGGGAACTATATGTGAAAAATTACACTGAGGAGAAAAATCAAAGAAAATTTAAATAAATAGAGAGAGATTCTGTGTTCATGGATTCAAAAAGTGGATATACTTAAGTGCCAGTTCTAACAAGCATGAGCTGTAGATTCAATACAATTCCAGTAAAAATCCAAACAAGATTTTCAAAAATTTTGACAGCCTATTATGAGAGTTTATGTGAAAAAATAACACACCTAGCATAGCCAACACAATAGTGAACAGGAAGAAGAAAGATCAGAGTTAGGGGACCCACATTATCCAATGTAAAGACTATAAAACAGCATAGTATTAATGAAAGAATAGATCAATGGAATAGATTAGAGAGCCTAGGAATACACTCACACAAATATAGTCAATTGATATTTTATAAAGCTGAAAAGGCAATTCAATAGAGAAACAGTAGCCTTTTGAACAAATTATCCTGAAACAATTGGACACACAGCCTAATGGGGAAGACAGCTGAGGAAACAGTTATAGTACAATGCAGTAAGTGTTGTGATAGAGGGATAGACAATGCATTGGGAGGGAAGAGGAAGAGATGTTGATGCAGACTCACGGAAAAACAGGACACACTTTGTAGAAGAGGTGATACTTCAGTTGAGACTTAACTAATGAGTGTAACTTATTCAGGTGAAAAATGAAAGAATAGGATACCAAACAGTAGAGATTGCATGTGTGAAGGCACAGAGGTGTGGTATGTTATATAGATCAAATGACAACTGAAACGTGCCAGCAAGAGTGTAGAGAATAAATCTAGAGACATTCAGAAAAGAAGTTAATCACCGTAAACTCTAAAATGGTAATTTTTTTAATAGTTATGACTTCTGAGCACAAAAGCTAGAAATTAAGATGATCTAGTTTGAGAAAGACAGAGGTAAGTATACCTATGAGCATGATACATCTGGAAAATCATGGCTATGCATCTCAGTAACCATGTAAATAGAATCAATGTGCTACCAAGTGTAGAGTTATAATTGAGATGTTAATTTTACCTCTGTGCCTTGTGGATGGACTTCAGAATGTTCATTGAATATGAATCGGATAAAGAAAAGAACAGAGGCACAAGGGAAATTTGTTAGTAAGAGAAATGGAAGTGTGTTGAATGGCAAAAAAGCAAGGGCAATTTGTGCTAGTTACCAGTACTTTGGAAAGGAAAAGCAGAAAAAATAAGACAAAGTGAAATTTAAATAGAAAAACATTATGACAATGAAAGCTAAGTCAGAATGATTGCAATAGAAATTAAGAGAGACTGATTTTAAAGTACTCTCAAGCAAGCTTGGAAGATGAGACAATCGGGACTCTAAGAGCTGAAAAAAACACACCAATATGATGTAAGGATGCACACCGTGGATGGATACATTATTTGTGCAGAAATATGTAATTCATAGAGAAAGAGAACTGCTAGATACCATAAAATGATAAATTTGATAAGCTGAGAATAAATAGACAAAGAAATCAATATTATACCAGAATAGTTAAGCAGAGGGGTAAAACAAACACATTTTAAAAATTGTTTTGTGAATAACCAAGATACGACAGCAATTTCAATGTCCATCAATGTATGGGTGGATAAAGAAAATGTGGTATATATACACAATGTAATGCTATTCAGCCATAAAAAGAATGAAATTCTTCCTTTTGCAACAACATCGACGAAACCAGTGGACATTATGCTAAGTAAAATAAGTCAGGCACGGAAATACAAGTAAGTCATGATCTCACTTAATTAGCCTGGTTTAATCATGCCAGGTTGTATATTTGTATCAAAATAACACATTGTACTCCATAAATGTATATAATCACAACTGGTCAATAAAAAATATTAATAATACGTTTTTCAAAGTTGTTTTTTGATGTTTAAATGCAAAATTACTTTCTTCATTAACATGTGAGTTAGAATAGTGTTAGAATAACCAAATATACCTTATTATAATAATTGTTTGGCATTTGATCAATACTATCTGTCATGGGGGAAATATATATCAATGTGTTTGAGTTAAGAGAACACATCAGCAAATTGAGTGGAACATCATTAATCAAAATTTTCAGTTTGATGATTAAAGAAAAACTCTCTCAGCAAAAAAGATTTCCAATTGTTCAGTGTTAGAAAGTATGTACAAAATATGATTGTTAAAATTTGCTTTTTTATCTTGAGTAACTGGGATGAAAATATTCCCAGACTTTAGCTGGGGGGAAATGATGTCAATAGACAAAATGTCATTGTACTTTTTCTTTGGCTATCTTTCTAGGTATACATAAACATTGACCTGTTTTCTTTTATTATGAGTGTGCTTGATGTTTCTTTCTAGCATTCTAATGATATTGGAAAATATTTTGTTGAAATGTAAAACCCCATGATCTAAAATACAGTTCAGAGATGTACCAAGTCAGAAAAAAGCAAATCATTTTTCTGAATAGGACAAAATGAACAAAGTGCATTTAAAAAAGTTTTCTTATTAAACTACTATTAATTTCTGTGTCTCACGAGAATAAAAATAATGCAATTTTCATTAGATCTAAGAGGCCTAATATTCTTTTTATCACAATTGTTTAAACAGCTATTAAGAAGAGGAAAGATTTTTTTTAAATACTCAAATACCGTATGATAAAAATAACCATTTTAGAGGAGAACATGCCAGTTGAGTGAAATGTAAATTTATTTCTTCGGAATCATGGTTCACACCACAAACTTCAGATTTTGTCCAAGTAATCAGCTTTCAACAGAAATAATGAAATTAAAAGTAACATTCACTGTGAACCTACAGATGAAGATAGTGGATTAATTACATTAAACTTACAGTAAAGGAAGCAGGGCGCAGTGAGCCCCCTTTGGGGAGTACAGTTATGAATGGCAAAACCTTGGAAACGTGACTCTTGTTCTTTAGTCATTGAATGCTTTTTTGTAATACTTGTTTTTTTAACCCTTGCATGCATTATTTTGATGAATATAAGCATATTTATTTTTATTATGCCTTCTGATTACAAATATATAAATGCATCCGTTGATTTTTAACTGACATATACAGAAAAACACAAATAAAAAAGGAAAATCATTAACACATGGATATATGTTATGGGTTGAATTGTTTCCTCCCAAAATTCACGTGTTGAATCCTAACACCTGGTAACTCAGAATGTGATCTTATTTGGAGACAAAATCTTTACAAGGGTAACCAAGATAAAGTGAGTTTATTAGTGTGGGCCCTAAGCTAATATGGCATGTCCTTATAAGAAGCGGGAAATTTGGACACAGAAACAGACATGCGTATAGAAGGAAGATGATGTGGAGACACATAGGGAAAAGATGGCCATCTACAAGCCAAGGAGAGAGGCCTGGATACAGATCCATCCTTCACAGTTTTCAGAGAAAATCAGCCCTGCCAATACCTTAGCGTTGGATGTGTAGCCTCCAGAACTGTGAAACAATATACAGTTGTTGCTTAAGCCATTAAGTTTGTGATACTTTGTTAAGGCAGCCCTAGCAAACTAATACAATGTATTTTTCTCTTTTATTCATTTAACAAATACTTATTAAACACATATATTATCTCAGGCACTGTTCTAGGCGCTGGAGATGCAGAATGAACAAAACAGACAAAAGTCTCTGCGCTGACTTGTGGAGTTTGTATTCTTATGAGATGGAGACAGATTAAACAGACAAGTAAAATAAGTGAAATCTACAGTTTTTAGATGGTCATAAGTACTCTGGTTAAAAAATAAAAAAATCAGGGAGGAGGATTAAGAATATGGGAGCTTGCCCGGAAACAGTTTCAGTTTTACATAGTTCTCAAAAAACAGTTTACTGAGAAGTCAAAGTTAATGACTCAAAGGCAGTAAAGGAGGAAGCTATTAGGCTTTCTAAGGAAGAGTCCTTCCAGTCTTTGTTTAGAATCCATATGTATATTTAGACATTCATTTTTAGGTGGAAAGTATGCTTGCCTGTGATAAAAATTTAAAACAGCGCAAGAAATCTTTGAAAATAGTTTCCCTTGCAGTGCAACCCTCTGATCGCAGTCCTCAACCTGTCCTGAACACTTTATATGCACTTCCAGAAATATGCATATACATACATGTATGTACATAAAATCTTTAAAATATTTAAACAGAGAATATTAAAATATTAAAATAAATATTTAATAAATATTTAAATAAAATATCAAAATACAATACAATAAAAATAAAATAAACTATTTAAAATATACATGTATTACATAACATATACATACATGTATGTACATAAAATATCTTACATGCATTGAGACATACTATAGAGTATTGTCTGTATCTTGTACCTTTATTCCTGACACACACACACCAATATTTCGCAAAAATTAGATTATACCTGCTTTATTTCGTGATATATAACTGACAGAGGAAATCTTGGGAAAATATCTTAGGAAATATTTTAAAACAGAATAAAACATACATATAAACTGATTCCTACCATATAGACTATATTTATGTAAAACTAATATGCAAAAGTGAACATCTTTATTTTATGAAAAAAGCTAATATATTGTAAACATGTTTCCTTGTCAATAGTAACTTATTCTAAAATAGAATATGAATTTGCTAAATATTTGAACATTTAGTAGCTCAAAGTTTTTATTATGAGTTTATAAATCTATAATGGAAATATTTAAGTTTTTAAATATACTGGATTATTTTCTTAGTATAATTTCTTGGGAGTGCAACTGATATGTGTATTAATGTTTTTAGGGATTTTAAACAAAGTAGCCAATTTACCCTCCAAAAAAGCACCTATTTATGTTCCCACCAGAAGCATATGCCTTCCAGCTTCCATTGTTGATTTAGATTTTTCATTCTGTTTAGATTTGCGAGGGAGTCGGTGAGTTAAATGCCTTTGAGTTTCCATCTTGACTGAAATATTTAAGAAATAAGTGGATATTAACATTTTGTTAGAATCATGTATTCACTGTCTATAATCAATACAATCCCCCCCAAATGTGTTTATTTAAAACATCAACACACAATTGTAGAAAAATCTGAACTAATGATGAAGACACTCCTTCACAAGTTGATACAGAAGTCATATTAGATGATGACAGAAGTTCACTTTTAGGCCACATTAGTTAGAATTGGGACTGTTATTCATTAGATGCTATAGTCTTATTCTAGGAAAATTAGATCAAATAGTGTGTCTAGAACAAATATTGCCAAATTTGCCTGGCTTTTAAAATTGATGCCTCATTAAAATTAAATATTTTGTAATTATCAACTGTCTTAGTAATGGGGGATGGTGTACTAGGCATGATGTGGATGTAATAAAGTACAACTGATGTAAGAGTACAGAAGCAAGAGTCAATCACTGTGGATTAGAGAACATGTCATTGAGAGCCTCGATGTGTGACTTTTGGTAAGTCATTTCACTGGACTCAATTTATTAATCATTCATTAGTTCATTGTTTTCAAGCTCCTTCTAAAGTTTTATAAGAAGACCTAGTCAATGGTAAAACAATTGACAATTTTAGCTTTTTATTTTATGAAAACAGGAAGTTGAAATTTTTTTTTAATCATAGTAGAAGGCACTACTGATAGATCAAAAGTAAAGTACAGGTTTAAAAGGAGCTAGAATTTGGCTACTAATAGTATAAATATTACTATTGCCTGTTTTCCTATAAAAATTTATTCTAGTTATTGAATTATAGTAGGTTTTAATGGAAATACAGGTCCACTGCAAGCTAGAGATAGCTTCCTTAAATCATATTATCCAATGCATTTTTGATAAATATACATTTCATCTCTTTGCAGGTTAAACCAGTTTTAAACTTCTATCCTTGAGTTGTAAAACTTAGATCTTATTTATTTAGAAATTTGAGATCTGACTTCCTAGGATATGTATGTAGCTGAATACATTTTTATATATCTCATATATGCACAGTGTAAGTAGTTCAGAGAGTGGGGTTTGAAATCAGAGACGTGGGTTAAAAACCCACCTCTGTCATTTACCAGCTTTATGACCTTGGGTAAGTTTCATAAACTCTATTTGGCTCAGTTTCTCATCTGTAAAATGAGGTTGATAATGACAGTAACTACTTTCTAAAGTTGAGAACATATAAATATATAGAGAGATAGATTAGATAGAAGATAGATAGATAGATTCGATCCGATTCGATTCGATATATAGCCAGGCAAATTTGGCAATAAATATATAGTTCTTAGTACAGTGCGTGACACATTACATATGGTTAGCTATTATTATTGTTATTATTATTACCGGTATCTAATTTTTAAAAAGCAAGAAGCAAGAATTCAATCCCTTTAACCTTGTAAACTACATTTGAAAGTGAATAATTCTTTATTGTAAACATAATTGTACAACTTGCAAAAGTACTCGCATTGTGAAAGCTAGCATCTGGGGTTTCATTATGCTCTCTTTTCTGTAGCGATCCCAGTTTAAAGATTCGAAATATCTTGGGAAAACAGTATGCTCTTTGGAATGGAGGAAAGATTCTGTGCTCAAGTAATTTTAAGATTGCTGATGAAATGCAATTAAGAGGTTATTTTTATTGCAGTATTTCTCAAAGGTTTTAATATGTTATTGCGCATTGTAAAGATTAAAAGAGGGATAGCATATGTAGTGTTTCCAAATGTTTTTGAAAGCAGACTATTTAGGAAATACTACCATGAGTAGCAAATTGGTCCCAACTGTTTAGAGTCTCAGAATATCTTTTTAGTGTCAATATTAATAGCCCTCAATAATTTTAATTCTATTTGTAGTATTAGTTGATTAAGAAAATACTTGACACAAAGATATCATGACACAAAGATATCATGACTCAAATAACATGGTTAAAGTTATATGCTTCCCCAAAACTATGTTCATTTTCAATATAGCAGTATCATGTTTTGATGTGTAATTCACTCATTTTTACAAATCCAATTCTTAGATGTCTCAAGGATTTTTGTATTTATTCCAATAACTTTATGGTTCAAGTCCTGAGAACCAGTGATTCCGAACCCTCACTGTACATTTGAAAATGATTGTAGAGCTTTAAAAAATGCAATTTAATGCCCAGATATGTTCCATAGAAAAGTGTATCTATATGGTCTGGGGTAGGGCCTTAGCGTTGAAATAGTTATCAGCTCTGCATATCATTTCAATCTACAGGCACATATACAAAAAAGACTGCTGGTCCTAGGTGTTAGTGAAAGGATCCCTGAGATGATATCTAGCCTGAACAGAAACCATAACCAGAAGATAGCCAAGGGGCTTGGAGAAGTGAAAGTGGTAAATGTATTACATGTACCAGTGAAGAAATAGAGCTTATTTGGAGTTATGGTTGAGTGGCATATTTGGTGTCATAAGAGATCAAGATTGAAGTGAATAACAGTAAATTTAGTTTTTTTTTTTATTTTTACATATTTAGAGGGTACAAGTACAGATTTCATACATGAATACATTGTGTAGTGGTGAAGTCTGGTCTTTTAGTGTATTCATCACCTGAATAGTGAACATTGTATCCAATAGGTAATTATTCAACCCTCAAACCCCTCCCACCCTATCACCTTTTGGAGTCTCCAATGTCTATTTCTCCACTCTCTATATCCATGTATAACCAATGTATAGCTCCAGTTTATGAGTGAGAATATGCAGTACTTTACTTTCTTTTTCTGAGTTATTTTAGTTAGGATAATGGCCTCCAGTCCCATCTATGTTGCTGCAAATGACACGATTTCATTCTTTTTTATGACTCAGTAGCATTCCATGGTATATATTTAATATATACCACATTTTCTTTATACAATTGTTCATTTATGAATTCTTAGGTTGATGCCTGACTTCATTATTGTGAAGAGCTGTGATAAACATATAAGTGCAGGTATCTTTTATATATAATAATTTATTTCTCTTTGAGTGTATAGCCAGTAGCGAGATCGCTAGATAAAATGGTAGTTCTATTTTTGGTTCTTTGAGAAATTTCCATACTGTTTTCCATAATTCTTATACTCATTTACATTCTCACCACCAGTGTATGTGTTCCTTTTTCTCTGCATCTTCGCCAACGTCTATTGTTTTTTTCAGTTTTTATTTATTTATTTATTTACAGAGTTTCGCTCTTGTTGCCCAAGCTGGAGTTTAATGGGGCAATCTCGTCTCACGGCAACCTCCGCCTTCTGGGTTTAAGAGATTCTCCTGCCTCAGCCTCCCAAGTAGCTGGGATTACAGGCGCACACCACCATGCCCAGCTAATTTTTTTTTTTTGTATTTTTAGTAGAAACAGGATTTTACCATGTTAGCCAGGCTGGTCTCGAACTCCTGACAGGTGATCTGCCCACCTCAGCCTCCCAAAGTGTTGGGAATACAGGTGTAAGCCACTGCGCCTGGCTGTTTTTTCACTTCTTAATATGGCCATTCTGTCTGGTGTAATATGGTATGTCATTGCGGTTTTCTCCAGCATCTGTTGTTTCCTGACTTTTTAATGATTGCCATTCTAACTGGTGTGAGATGGCATCTCATTGTGGTTTTGATTTGCCTTTCGCTGATGACCAGTGATGATGAGCATTTTTTCATGTGTCTGTTGGCTGCATAAATGTCTTCTTTTGAGAAGTATCTGTTCATATACTTTGCCCACTTTTTGATGGGGTTGTTTGATTTTTTCTTGTAAATTTGTTTAAGTTCTTTGTAGATTCTGGATATTAGCCCTTTGTCAGATGGGTAGATTGCAAAAATATTCTCCCATTCTGTAGGTTGCCTGTTCACTCTGATGGTAGTTTCTTTTGCTGTGCAGAAGCTCTTTAGTTTAATTAGATCTCATTTGTCTCTTTTGGCTTTTGTTGCCATTGCTTTTGGTGTTTTAGTCATATAGTCCTTGTCCATGCCTATGTCCTGAATGGTATTGCCTAGGTTTTCTTCTAGGGTTTTTATGGTGTTAGGTCTAACATTTAAGTCTTTAATCCATCTTGAATTAATTTTTGTATAAGGTGTAAGGAAGGGATCCAGTTTCAGCTTTCTACATAGGGCTAGCCAGTTTTCGCAGTACCATTTATTAAATAGGGAATCCTTTCTCCATTTCTTGTTTTTGTCAGGTTTGTCAAAGATCAGATGGTTGTAGATGTGTGGTGTTATTTCTGAGGCCTCTGTTCTGTTCCATTGGTCTATATATCTGTTTTGGTAGCAGTACCATGCTGTTTTGGTTACTGTAGCTTTGTAGTATAGTTTGAAGTCAGTTAGCGTGATGCCTCCAGCTTTGTTCTTTTTGCTTAGGATTGTCTTGGCAGTGTGTGCTCTTTTTTGGTTCCATATGAACTTTAAAGTAGTTTTTTCCAATTCTGTGAAGAAATTCATTGGTAGTTTGATAGAATCGGCTATTGAAGCTTGTGCATGCATCATGTAGTTCTCGTGCCATGGTTTTCAGCTCCATCAGGTCATTTAAGGTCTTCTCTACACTCTTTATTCTAGTTAGCCATTCATCTACTCTTTTTTCAAGGTTTTTAGCTTCCTTATGATGGGTTCGAACATTCTCCTTTAGCTCGGAGAAGTTTATTACCAACCTTCTGAAGCCTACTTCTGTCAGCTCATCAATGTCGTTCTCCATCCAGCTTTGTTCCATTGCTAGCGAGGAGCTGCGATCCTTTGGAGCAGAAGAGGCACTCTGGTTTTGAGAATTTTCAGCTTTTCTGCTCTGGTTTCTCCCCAACTTTGTGGTTTTATCTATCTTTGGTCTTTGATGTTGGTGACCTACAGATGGGGTTTTGGTGTGGATGTCCTTTTTGATGATGTTGATGCTATTCCTTTCTATTTGTTAGTTTTCCTTCTAGCAGTCAGGTCCCTCAGCTGCAGGTCTGTTGGAGTTTGCTGGAGGTCCTCTCCAGACCCTGTTTGCCAGGGTATCACCAGCGGAGGCTGCAGAACAGCGAATATTGGTTTCTCCCCAACTTTGTGGTTTTATCTACCTTTGGTCTTTGATGTTGGTGACCTACAGATGGGGTTTTGGTGTGGATGTCCTTTTTGTTGATGTCGATGCTATTCCTTTCTATTTGTTAGTTTTCCTTCTAACAGTCAGGTCCCTCAGCTGCAGGTCTGTTGGAGTTTGCTGGAGGTCCTCTCCAGACCCTGTTTGCCAGGGTATCACCAGCGGAGACTGCAAAACAGCAAATATTGCAGAATAGCAAATATTGCTGCCTGATCCTTCCTCTGGAAGCTTTGTCCCAGAGGGGCACCCGCCTGTATGAGGTGTCAGTCAGCCCCTACTGGGAGGTGTCTCCCAGTTAGGCTACACGGGGGTCAGGGACCCACTTGAGGAGGCAGTCTGTCCATTCTCCAAGCTCAAACACCATGCTGGGAGAACCACTGCTGTCTTCAGAGCTGTCAGACAGGGACGTTTAAGTCTGCAGAAGTTTCTGCAGCCTTTTGTTCAGCTATGCCCTGCCCCCAGAGGTGGTGACTACAGAGGCAGCCGACCTTGCTGAGCTGCAGTGGGCTCTGCCCAGTTCAAGCTTCCCCAGCCACTTTGTTTACCTACTCAAGCCTCAGCAATGGCAGACGCCCCTCCCCCTGCCAGGCTGCTGCCTCACAATTTGATCTCAGACTGGTGTGCTAGCAGTGAGCAAGGCTCCATGGACATGGGATCTGCTGAGCCAGGTGCAGGATATAATCTCCTGGTGGTGTACCGTTTACATTGGAAAAGTGCAGTATTTGTGCGGGAGTGTCCCGTTTTTCCAGGTACCATCTGTCACGGCTTCCCTCTAGGAAAGGGAAATCCCTCGACCCCTTGTGCTTCCCCAGTGAGGTGATGCCCCGCCCTGCTTCAGCTCACCCTCCGTGGGCTGCACCCACTTTCCAACCAGTCCCAGTGAGATGAACCAGGTACCTCAGTTAGAAATGCAGAAATCCCCTGTCTTCTGCATCGGTCACGCTGGGAGCTGCAGACCGGAACTGTTCCTATTGGGCCATCAATCCTATTGCACCATTTTAGGATTTTTTTAAGAATTTTTAAAAATTCTGTGAAAAAATAATTGACAATTTGATGACACTTGCATTGAATTTGTAGATTGCTTTGGGCAGTATGGTTATTTTAACAATATTATTTCTTCTAGTCTATGACCATGGAATGTTTTTTCCATTTACTTATGTCACCTATAATCTCTTTCAGCAGTGTTTTATAGTTCTACTTATAGAGATCTTTCACTTCCTTGGTTTAATATTTCCCTGAGTATTTTATTTTAGTTTTTGTAGCTATTGTGAATAGAATTGCCTTCTTGATTTGGTCCTTGGCTGAACTAGTATTGTTGTATAGAAATGCTGTCGACTTCTGTACATTAACTTTGTATCCTGAAACTTTACTGAATACATCAATCAAATCTAAGTGACTTTTTGGTGGAGTCTTTAAAAATTTTTTAAATATGAAATCATATCTTCAGCAAACAAAGATTATTTTGACTTCCTCTTTTCCATTGTGAATACCTTTTTTTTTCTTTGGTTTGATTGCTCTGGAGAGGACTTCCAGTACTATGTGTAACAACAGTTATGAAAGTGGGCATCCTGGTCTTTTTCCAGTTGTCATTGGGAATGTTTTCAACTTTTCCCAATAAATTGATACTGTCTGTGAGTTTGCCATATATTGCTTTTATTATGTTAAGGTATTTTACTCCTATGCCTAGTTTTTGAGAATTTTTATCATAAAGCAATGCTGAATTTACTGAATGCTTTTTTCTGTATATATTGGGGTGATCATTTAGTGTTTGTTTCTAATTCGGTTTATTGGATATGTCACACTTACTGACACATTGTGTATGTTGAACCATCCTTACATCCCCAGCATATATCCCACATGTTCATGGTGTATTTTTTTTAATGTGCTGTTGAATTTGATTTACTAGATTTTTTTATTATTTTTTATCTTTTTTTTTATTTTTAGATTTTTGCATCTATGTTCATCAGGTATATTGGGCTGTAGTTCTCTTTTTTTGCTGTGACCTTGTCTGATTTTGGTACCAGGGTGATACTGGCCTAATCCAATCAGTTGGGGACAATTCCCGACTCCTCAATTTTTTGGAATAGTTTCAGAAATATTGGTATTAGGTCATCTTTGTATGTTTGATAGAATTCAGCTATGAATTCATCTGGTCTGGGTTATTATTTTTTGTTACTAAATAAATCTCACTACTCATCATTGGTTTGTTAAGGAGTTTCATTTCTTCCTGGTTCAATCTTGGGAGGTTGTATATTTCCAGGAATTTATTCATTTTTCTCTAGGTTTTCTAGTTTGTGAGCATGTAGTTGTTTATAATAGACTCTGATAATCTTTTGTTTTTCTGTGGTATCAGTTGCAATCTCTTTTTTCATTTTAGGCTGTGTTTATTTGGGTCTTCTCTCTTCTTTTCTTAATTAACCTAGATAGATTTTTATCAATTTTATTTATATTTTCAAAGAACCAACTTTTCACTTCATTGATCCTTTGTATCTTTTATTTTGATGTTTATTTCATTTATTTCTCCTCTGATCTTTGTTATTTATTTTCTTCTGCTGATTTCAGATTTGGTTTATTCTTGATTTTCCAGTTCTTTGAGGTATGACATTAGGTTGTAAATTTGTGATTTTTCAACTATTTTGTGTCAGCATTTAATGCTATACATTTTCGTCTTAGCACTGCCTTCACTGTATTCCACAAGTTTTTGGATGCTGTGTTTTCATTTTCATTCACTTTTTAAAAAATTTTATAACTTAATGTTTTTGATATTCCAGTGATTGTTCAATTTCCAGTGATGGTTTCAATTTATTGTTTAATTTAAATGGATTTATATACTTTCCAAACCTATTTTTAGTGTTGATGTCTTGCTTTATTCAATTTTAGTCTCAGAAGATACATTGATATAATTTTGATTTTTAAAAATTTGTTGGCCAGGCTAAGTGGCTCATGCCTGTAACCCCAGCATTTTGGGAGTCTGAGGCAGGTGTATCACTTGAGCCCAGGAATTTGAGACCAGCATGGACAACATGACAAAACCTAATTTCTACAAAATGTACAGAAAATTATCCAGGCGTGATGCTGTGCCTGTAATCCCAGCTATGTGGAAGTCTAAGGTGGGAGACTCACCTGAGCCTAGGAAGTTGAGGCTGCTGTGAGCCATGATCATACTACTGCACTCTAGGCTGGGTGACAGAGTGAGGCCCTGTCTTAAAAAAAATGTATCTCTTTCTTTAGATATACTAATATTTATGTTGTAAACTTGGGTGATCTGATATTACATGCAAATATATTTAGGGTTATTATATCTTCCTGCTAAATTGATCTTCCTATCATTATACCTTAACCTGTTATTTATTTATTTATTTTTATTTATTTTTGAGACAGAATCTTGCTCTTTCATCCAGGCTGGGGTGAAGTGGCATGATCTTGGCTCACTGCAACCGCTGCCTGCTGGGTTCAAGCAATTCTCCTGCCTCAGCCTCCCGAGTAGCTGGGATGACAGGCGTCCGCCACCACACCCAGCTAATTTTTATTTTTTAAGTAGAGACAAGGTTTCTATGTTGGCCAGGCTACTCTTGAACTCCTGACCTTAGGTGATCCGCCAACCTCGGTCTCCCAGAATGTTAAGATTACAGGCGTGAGCCACTGCGCCTGGCCACCTTAACATTTTATTACCATGTTTTATTTAAAGACTGTTTTATCTAATGTAAGTATAGCTACTTCTGCTTACTTTTGGTTTCTGCTCATGTGGAATATATTTTTCCACCTCTTTACTTTCAGTCTATATGTGTCTTTATGGGTAAGGCACATGTCTTGTAGTCAGCATATAGTCGGATTATATATTTTTATCAATTCTGCCAATCTGTACCTTTTAAGTGGAGTATTTATTCTATTTACATTCAAGGTTCATATTGATATGTTGGGCTTTGTTCCAGTCATGTTGTTAATTGTTTTCAAATTATTTTTTACATTATTTCTTTCCTTTTCTTTGTCTTTTAGTCCTTGTATTTTGATGAGATTATGTTGTGTTACCATTTGATTACTTTTTCTTCCTTAATTTTGTGATTGCTTTATATTTTTATATATTTTTTCATGATCATTAATGTTGACCTTTTGTTTCCATGTTTTACACCCCTTTGAGCTTGTAAGACCAGTCTTGTGTTTACAAATTCCCTTAGCATTTTCTTCTCTGGGAAAACATTTTATTTCTTCTTCATTATGAAGCTTATTGTGGCAGAATATAAAATTCTTGGCCGTTATTTTTCTTCTCTTTTAGCACTTTGAAAATGCCATCCCATTTTTTTCTAGTCTGTAAAGTTCCTGCTGAAAAGTCTACTGTTAGTCTGATGGGGTTTCCTTTGTAGGTGACTAGGCGCATTTCTCTTGCTAATTGTAAAACTCTTTCACTTTGACCTTAGACATTCTGAGTATAATTTGTCATGGTGAAGTCTTTTTTTCTGATGTATTTTTACTGGGGATATCTGGGACCCCTGTGTCTGGATATGTGACTCTCTTGCTAGATTGAGTAATAGTTCATCAATTCTTTCTTTAAATAGGTTTCCTAAACTTTTTGCTCTCTTTCCCCTCAGGAATACCAATAAGTTCAGTTGCTATATTTAGTCCCAGATGCCTCAAAGGCTTTGTTCACTAATTTTTTTTTAACTTTTATCTGACTAGATTATTTTAAAAGTCCTATCTTCAAGTTCTAAGATACTTTCTTCTTCTTGATATAGTCTATTATTGAAGCTTTCAAGTGTAATTTGTGTTTCCTTCAATATTTTTTTTTATTTCCAGATTTTCTGCTTTTTGTTAAGATATCTGTCTCCTTGGTAAATTTCTATTTCATATCCTAAATTGATTTTCTGATTACTTTGTATAGGTTCTCTGACTTATTTTGCATCTAATTTAGCTTATTTAAAATTAATATTTTAAATTCTTTATCTGGCATTTTGAAGAATTTTGATTGGGACCTGTTGCTGAACAATTGTTGTGGTCTTTTGGTAGTGTCATATTGTCTTACTTTGTATGTTTTATTTATCCTTCCATTGATATCTGCACCTCTGGTGTAACAATCACTTGTTCCATTTTTTTTTTTGAAATTGCTTTTGTAGGTAAGAAATTTTCCTGAAGATGTACGTATGTTGTTGATTGAGTAAGATACTTGGGCTTTGAATTTGAATGCCTGCCATAGTGTGATCTTTGTATGACTTATTTGGCAGTACATAGGGTCTGTGGTATCTGTGACTTCCTCTGTGGCTTAGGGTACAGTTATTAGTTGACATTGTGGTAAAGTTTTTCTCGGGGCTTGGATACCAAGTGAGTCAGTCTTCAGGTCCCAGTGGGGGCAGAATTGGGATGGGTGTGCCTGTTTTTATGCCTCAGAGCAGCTTACACTGTCTCCAGTATTAGTGGGCTCTGGAGGGCTTATTCTTGGGCCTCCAAGTATCTTCCTTAGAAGCAAGTATTGGGAGCAATGCACCAGGTGTGTGGGTGTGTTCTCAGGACCTTGTGCAGCTGGTGTGGTGTGGGTGATGGCAGTAGCAGTGGTGGAGCATCCCACTGGGATGCAAGCAGTCAGTGTTGCTGTTCCTGGTAGCTACAATGGGTTGGATCAGCTAGTTCCCAGTCCCGCAGCCACTCACAGCAGTGCAGTGGGTATTGTCCTAACTGTGCTAGAAGAGCTTGGTCTCTTCTGTCCCTCCCCTGGCTTGGTGGTGCTGCAGCCATGTTACCTCAAACTCAGATCAAGGGTTGTATGCAACCCTGCTTAAACGTTCAAAATGGTACCAGCTGTTGGGCTTATGACCAGAGAGGGAAGGACCCCTCTCAAATGAGAAACATGGACAAGGAGCTGTGGGGAGTGTGAACCACTCCAGCCTCACAGCAACCCATTACAGAGTAGTGGATATTTTTTCTAGATTTTCATACAAGGGACTGGTTTCCCTTACCCTCCTTGGCTGGGCAGGGGCTGCAGCTATGTCAGCCCAAACTCAGACTGCAGGTGGGGACACAGCACAGTGTATACTCTCAGAATTGTTCCTTGATTCTAAAACCATAGATGGCAACGTTTCTCCCAGGCAAGCAGCATAGACAAGAAGCTGTGGAGAGTACAGTCTCATTCTCAACAGTAGCCCACAGTAGGATAGCAGGGATCCATTCCCCTAGTGGTGTGCGAGAGTGCCCTGTCTGCCCTCTCCCTTTTGGAGCAGAACAGCAGCAGTAGCCATGTCTGTATTTCTTCAGTATTGGTATCTGGGCTCTCAAAAGCCTCTGGCTGGGGCTTCTGTAAGCATGAATGCCTGTGGGATTTCATGTGGGTTCCCTTTCTGGAGCAATGTCTCTGTGCAATTGTTACACAGCTCTGTATGTCAGGCCCAAGGCCCTGGTGGGTCCAAGATGTCTCCTGTAGCCAATATCATATAACCTGAGCCATGGGAGTTTCTCTCTTACTGTTATTCTATGTCCAGGAGAGACTCTTTTGGGTCTCAGTCAGTTCCTGGCAAGGCAAGCTGCCTGAACCCTCTCCTTGATTACTTTTAGTGTTTCCTTTCTCTTTTTTGGTGAATCCTAGTGTTCTGATGTGGTTTGGCTCTGTGCCCCTACCCAAATCGCATCTTCAACTGCACTCCCATAAGCCCCGCATGTTGTGGGAGGGACCCAGTGGAAGATAATTTGAATCATGCGGGCGGTTCCCCCCCATATTTTTCTTGTGGTAGTGAATAAGTCTCACCAGATCTGATGGTTTTATCAGGGGTTTCTGCTTTTGTATTTTCCTCATTTTCTCTTGCTGCCACCATGTAAGAACTGCCTTTTGCCTCCTGCCATTATTTTGAGGCCTCCTTAGCCCTGTGGAACTGTAAGTTCAATTAAACCTCTTTTTCTTCCCAGTTTCAGTTATGTCTTTATCAGCAGCGTGAAAACGGGCTAATACACTATCCTAGTCAATCTTTTCCTGCAATAATAATGCTATTCTGCTTCTTCTACCATGAGGAGACATTTACTATCTGTGTCTAGACATCCATATCCTTAGGATTTTAAAAATAAAGCAGTTTCGTGAAAGGGTTTGCATTCATAATTTAGCAAGGTAAGTGAATTTAAGGAGGAGAAAGTCCTGGGTGTTCAGGACTGGGTGTTAGATGTCAATATTGATATCTTTGTTATGATGAGAATTTTTAGGACCTAAGAAAAAATTAGGATGCTTAAAGATTAAGAAAGAAGCAGAGTCTAACAAATTTTGGTGAAGAATTGACAGTCTTATAATAGTTCTTTATGAAGACTACAGCCACTGATAAGATTAACTCTGGCTTCAGCATCCTTTTAGATTCCTTGTGAATCAACCGGGTCCTATAAATGTAACTGTAAAATTTAAGTAGAAAGAAAGCAAACTTTGAAATGAGATAATCATGACTTTGAAATTTTCAGCTCTAAAGTGTAGCTTTACTTGTACTACAGTGGTAGTCTGCTTGGGCTGCCATTACAAAATACCATGGACTCAGTGGCTTAAACAACAGAAGTGTATTTTTTTGTTTGTTTTGTTTTTTCTCACAGTTCTGGAGGCTGGAAGTCCCAAATCAGGGTGCCAGGACGGTGAGGCTGTAGTATGGACTCTCTTCCTGGCTTAGAGTTGGATGTACCTTTTTCTTTTGGTTTGTAGACAGCAGAGAGAGAGAGAGAGAGAGAGACAGAAAGAGAGAAAAAGACTCTTCCTCTTCTCACAGGAGCACTAATCCTACCGTGGGGGCCCTAGCCTTATGACCTCACCTAAACCTACTTATCTCCCAAAGGCCCCATCTCCAAATACTATCACATTAGGGAGTAGGGCTTCAACAATTCAGTCTATAGCAAGAGCTTTCTAAGAATGTGACCTTGGGTAAGTTACTTAATTTCTATGAGTTTTCTTTTTCTCCTTCATGGACCTGTCATAAGGTTCAATGTGTTTAACTAAATAGTTGGCAGATTGTAGGACCTCAGTAAGCATAATTTCCTTCCCACCTTTCTCTTCCTTTTCTCTTCCTGTTCTTACTACTGAGTTTGTCAGTGAAAGATGTCACATAACTGATTTCATCTTTCTGTTACTTGCATATAAGCTCAAACATGGAGCTTTAAACATTTTATTTCCTTGCTTAACTACCGCAATCCCTACTCTGGCCTTCACCTAGGACTCTCTGGCCTCTAGTATCCAACTATCCTGGCCAGTTAGGTAAGGAAATTTCTTTGTAATGAGACTGATTTCTAATCAATTCACCAAAAAAGTGTCTATATGAGTGTTCCCAGTTTGGCACCTTTGATGGAAAAGGTGATTAAAGTTATTGTAGAAGTAGTAGAAACTGCTCCAGCTGTTCCTGTTAATTTTAATTAAACTCCACACTACACAACTACAAGTTACACAACCTGTAGTTGTTGACGTACTGAGAGCCCAGGGGCAAAAGCAAAGTCGGAGTGTTTTCTATTAAGGCAAATAGTGTTGGGCCTTGAATTGGCAATGACGGCACTAAGTACCTGTGTATTACCCACCAAAGTTGAAGGGGGCATTTCTTTGTATAGCAGTTGTTCCAGTGGATGTCTGAAACGTAGGAATGAAAGTATGCAAGTAGTGTTGTTTGAACTACATTCTCAACTGAGTCAATATTGAAACTGTTAGTCCCAGTCTGTTACGTATGTATGCTAGTAAATCAAAGTATTAGCAAATTCAAAAACAAAACCAGTGGTGGCTGTCACCTGGCTTCATGGGATGCTGCTTCATGTGGTATCAGTAAGGGTGACGGGTAAGCTGACTATAATCTCTAGAGGTAGTGTAGTAGCAGTGTCACTCAAGTTTAACTTTGGTGCGCTCTGTAAATATTTGTTGACTAAATGAATTACAATATAAGACATATTTGCCTGATGTATTTGTATTATCCACTGGTGTCCCTTGCTCTGGAGTACAAAGATGATATCTTATTTACCTTTATTCTCCCACTGGCAAATAAAATTCTTAAAATAGTATGTATCTTAGACTGTTGTGCATTGGATATAAGTATGTATAGTAAACTGGACCTTCTCTTTGCAGAATTTTAGTAGAGTCATTTAACATAAATAATTTAATCATCTATATTTCAGAATTCCTTCAGTTAGTCACATATAATTTCCTGGAGTAAATAGACCCTGCCTTTCTTTTCAGTTAAGATTCTGATAGCCAGGGAATAGTAACCAGAATACTAGCTCTCCTTGCAGAATGTGTTATTGAAAGAAGCTGATTTGGGTTTGAGAAAAATCTACCAAGCAAATGAAAACAGAAAAAAAGTAGGGGTTGCAGTCCTAATTTCAGACAAAACAGGTGCTAAACCAAAAAAAAAAAAAAAAAAAAAGCCAAAAAAGACAAAGAGTGTCATTACTTAGTAGTAAAAGGTTTAATTCGAGACGAAGACCTGACCATTCTAAATATGTATGTACCCAACACATATTCTTAAAGCAAGTTCTTACAGACCTCGCTTTATGGATACGTGTTGGGTGCATATATATTTATGGAACACACAGATTCATAAAGCAAGTTCTGAGAGACTTTCAAAGAGATTTAAACTCCCACACAGTAATAGTGGGAGACATATTTCATGCTATGACCAATATACACGAAATTTCAGACCTAAGTTTTTTATCATTATTACTATTTTTTTTTTGAGATGGAGTCTCGCCCTGTCTCCCAGGCTGGAGTGCAACGGCACAATCTCAACTCACTGCAACCCCTACCTCCCAGGTTCAAGTGATTCTCCTGACTCAGCCTCCTGAGTAGTTGGGATTACAGGCATGCACCACCATGTCTGGCTAATTTTTGTATTTGTAGAAGAGATGTGGTTTCGCCATGTTGTCCAGGCTGGTCTTGAACTCCTGGCCTCAAGCAATCCACCCACCTCAGCCTCTCAAAGTGCTGGGATTACAGGTGCGAGTCACCGTGCCTGGTGCAAAGGTAAAATTATATCATTGATACAAAAATATATACCTTGTAAATCCAAAGATCTGCTATAGCATAGAGCTACAACAGTTTGCCTATTATCCACAAGAAGAACCTCTAAGTACACCACAACATTCATAAGCCTATGGGCATCAATTTTGTGTCAGGTTGTCTTATAGATTTATTACAAAAGCATTTTTTTTTCTCTGCCTCATGTTGCCTGGGTCTACTCTTTGCCCAGTCATATTTGAACGTGTCCCAATTGCCTCTATAAAATATACATTTTTAAATTTCTATTTTGACATTTTTGTGCTGTTTGGTTTTGCTAGTCAACTCTTATTTTTTACCAGCTTTGTTGAAATCTAATTGATATACAAATAACTGCACATATTCAATGAGTACAATTTGAGGAGTTTGTGCACACGCAAATACCTTTAATACTATCATCACAATCAAGATAATAGACATATCTAACACCTACCAAATTTCCTTTGTGTCCCTTTCTGTTACTTGTTGTTTGTTTTTGCAGTACTAACACTTAACACAAAATCTATCCTCTTAAATTTTGAAGTGCACAGTACTATTTTGTTAACTATAGGTGCTACATTGTACAGCAGATCTGTAGAATTTATTCATCTAGCATAATAGAATCTTTCTACCAATGGAAAAACAACTTTCCATTTCCCCTATACCACCTCCCACCCCTGGAAACCACAATTGTATTCTCTGTTTCCATGATTTTGACTATTTTAGATACATTCTGTAAGTGGAATCATGCAGTATTTGTCCTTCTGTGACCAGATTATTTCACTTAACATAATGTCCTTTAGGTTGATACATGTTATTGCATATGATGGAATTTCTTTCTTTTTCAAGGCTGAATAATATCCCATTGTACGTATATACCACATTTTAAAATCTTCATCTGTCAACGGAAACTTCACCTGTTTCCATACCTTGTCTATTGTGAGTAAGGCTATAATGAACGTGGGAGTTCAGATATCTCTTCAAAGTTCTGATTTCAGTTCTTTCAGTATATGTGTTAAAGTGCTGTATTAGTTTACTAGAGCTGCCATTACAAGAGTATCACAGACTGAGTAGATTAAACTGAAATTTATTTTCTCACAGTTCTGGAAGCTAGAAACCCAAGATCAAGGTGTCAGCAGGTTGGGTTTCTCCTGAGACTTCTTTTCTTGGCTTGTTGATGGCCGGCTTATCTTCTCCCTTTGTCTTCACATGGTCTTTCCTCTGTGTGTGTCTATGTGTCACAGACTCCTCATAAGAATACAAGTCATACTGGATTAGGGCCCATCCTAGTGACTTCATCTAATGTCAATTGTTTCTTTAAATTTCTATATCCAAATACAGTCACATTCTGAGGGACTAGGGATTAAAACTTCAACATACAAATTTGAAGGAAGGAGACATAATTCAGTCCATAACGACTACTGTGATACAAATGTACATAGAGCATTCCAGGTTAGTTGAAATTAAATGGAGTTTACAGGTTAGGTTTTTGGGTTAGTCGATATTAAATGGAATCCTAGAAATGAAAAGGAGTTAGCTAAAAGATAACAATAGGGAGTAGCTGGGAAAGTAGAAAGGGCATATTAGGTAGAAGTGATAGCATATACACTGATTCTTTCGGAATGCTATGAGTAATGCATTATAAAGATAAAAAGTGCGTGTGGCTATTTAGTGAACAGTCGGATAAACAGGTCTGGATATATTTTCTTTTCTTGTTTCTCTTCCTACCCTTTACACCCTTTAATTTTCTGAATAAAACTGCCATCTTAAAATTACAATTCTAGATTCATCTCACTCACACTAGTAGTTCCAGTTATTTCAACTATACTAGTAATGTCTATTTTTCTAGACCTATCTGAAACTTCTCCATTGACTTCCCGGCCATTTAGTAAGCTGCCATCTAGCTGTCAGTTTTTGAATGTCCCAAGGATACCCCAAAGTGAAAACTAAAAGTTTCAATTTCAAAAGTCTCTCTCTCTCTCTTTTTCTCTCTCTCTGTCTCCCCAAACCTGCTTCTTCTTGAGAATTCATTTTCTTATCAATGGTACCCCCATTTGCTGAATAACTTAAGCCATAGTTACTCAGGTATGGTTCTGGACTATTTATTTTTCCACACTCATCTCAAGTCAATCATTAAATCTTATGGGTTCTACTTATGGTTTAAAATCTATCTCTACCACACCATCCCGACATTTTGCTGAATAGTTGACTACTGGTTCCGGCAGTGATCTGATTTGGATTGATTGAGATCATGCATTCCACCAAGGCACATGGATAAAGAGTTCTGGACTCTGAATGAGTATATGATTATGATATTAATTTTTTCTCCAAATTCCTGGTTTAATAAGGACCTGTTTATTTTGAGGAAAAAAAGGTCCCAAATATCGGACTGTTCACAAAAATATCCCACAGTATCAACTTTACAGAACAAATCTTAAAACAGTAATGCTGATTACTTTTCTAAAAAAATACATTTGACATGCCAACTCTCATTCACAAAAACACATTGTTACATTTGTGTTGAACTGCCTCACACAGCAAACTTATGTGAGAATATAACATATATACTTTTAACTCAAGGACGGTTTCCGGTGCTACTCAAATAAATGAGATTGACTCTGCAGTTAGGGAAGCAACTACTGAATTTATGTATGAATCAAAAGAACCGCACTCAATGCATAACAAGAGATTCTTTTGGAGACAGTTGATAATAACCATACATTCTTTTTATTGTTCAGTCATAAATGGGATTAAAATTTAAAATCCTATTTTTAAAATTTAAAAATAGGATTAAAAATTAAAAGCATAAATTACAAAGTAAGACTGCAAAACTACAAAGAGCATCAAAGGAAGTGAAATGGGACTAGGCACAGGGCAATGTGAATTAATGGGAAGGGCAAGGATGGTGAGAACAGTGGGCATGCTCTGAAGGTACTAGGGGAGAGAATCTGGTGAAAGAGCTGATCTTACAAGCACCTAGGTAAGGAAATAATTGGATAATATTTCTAAACCCCACAATATGCTTCAGAGTCATCCTCGCCATTGGCGTTGTCTTTGTCGTCTTCTCCGTCATCTTCTCCTTCCTCAGCCTCTTGTTCATCATCCTTGATTAACTCTAGCTGGTCATCCCTCAGCTTCATCATCATCATCATCATCCAACAGGTCCCCCTCAACAGAGTCATCTGCATCCCCCTCAGACTCCATCTTCACATTAGTCTTATCTTGCTTCAATGATGTGCTGCTCTGCTCCTCTTCTGACTTATCATTCTTCATCTCTATTGCTGGTTTGCTCTGTTCCTTTTCAATTTTTTTTTCATGTTTTTCAATGGAGAATACACATTTTGTTTTATCTGGGTCACTTCCTTCTTCACAGCCTAAACGTCACCTCTGTTCAACTTTCCAGACTTGGGAGATCCCCTTGTCCACACAGAATTAAAGCCACTTTCACCCCTTTGTGAGGTGTTTTCTAATGCACTCTGGCCTTTTGAGGACAAATGGCCCGAGCAATGGGAGGAGGAGGAGGAACACGTGCTAGGTAACTGTACATCCTGTTATCATAATCCCATTGAAAGTCATAGTCCATGTCAAAAGAGGAGCCATACATCTCTGCTGCAGATCATTTTACACCTGCTTTTCCTCACTTTGTTTTTGGCTCTGCAGCCAGATGAATATTAAAGCCTGGCCAGCAATCATTCTGCCATTGTCCCCTGCCACAGCAGCCCGGGTATCTCTCATTAACATATTGAGCAAAGGCAAAGCCCTTATGAACAGAGCAACCCACAATTTTGTCATACTACAAAAAGATTGCCTCCACTTCAGAGTTCTTGACCTCAAGAGTTCTGAGATTCTCAATAAACACACAGGAATTTATGGAATGAGGATCTGTCTTGTTGGTAACATTGCTAGCCATTGTGTTTGTAAGGTTTCTCCCAAAGCCAGAGCTAGGATGGGGGAAGGAGAAGAGATTTGATTCTGAGTCTCCTACTCCCAGGTTCTATGTGCAGAAGGCTACTGCTGCTCCAGGTTGGCAATGCAGCCACAACCTCTCAGTCTTTGTTGCTTCACAAAATGGCCAAAACTTAATTATTATTAATGATTAGAATTTACAAAATGCACATGATGTGAATATTATCTCATAGTTGAATAGTACCTCTATTTTGAAGAAGGTACTGAAGCCTAGATAGGTTAAATAATTTGCCCAAAACCACATAGCTAGAAAAGCAAAGCTGGAACTGAAAGTCAAATCATCCTGGTTTTGAAGCTCATGCTCTATTCACTAATCAAGACATCTACCATAATTAATTATCACTATGTATGAAATGTTCCCAATGGGGAAACAATTTTATGCCAATGGAAAAACTAAGTTTCTTCTAATTTTAATAGTAGAGCATATTATTGTAATTCTAGAAAAGCAGTATTTTTTTTTCTAAACTAAGCCTTGTTTATTATATCTACGCTACAGAAATTTGCCATCTTAAATTTAGCCAGTGAGGCACCATGAAGAATATAATTTACAATATTGATAGTTTCTTAATAAATGTATGTGTTCAAATGCCTTAAAATTGGAAATTAGTTTTTCCATGGTAGAGGAATAAAAATGGTATATAACATACATAGATGAGGAATAGCAGTTCACAGCCAAGGATCCCCAATTTTATTGAGAATAATCTCCCCTTAAATTAATCTTTCAAAAATTAATAATAGAAGCTATTTATTGCAGAAATATATTTAGGGCAACTTCCATTTATTGTAATTAAAGTGATGTATTAGCTTTCTAGTTTATTTGGCTGAGGATTTACTTGAAATTGAGGACAAACTGAAAATATGATTTACCAATATGGATGATATTACAACATATTTTGTATTCTGAGGCTTAGAAAAAGTATATAAACTTTTTCAAATATCAGTGTTAAAAGAACCCTTGTTATACTAAATATTTAACATTAGGTTTATGTAAGGCAGTGCAAGCTGTGGGAATTCATTCTAAAGCCAGTTATAAGTAGTATAGGGATGGTCTGAGCAAGTTAATAATCATCATTCATGAGAGAATCAATGAAGGACTAGATTCCATGAAGCACATTTTTCTATGTGAGTCACTTATCAACTTGAAGAAGCAAAGTCAGAGATGTTTATCGCTCTGTGTATACTTCATGATTATAGAAATCAAGTTTTGTTGTTGTTTTGATAAAAAGGTGAAGTTCTGTGAACACCGAGCATGAAATTGGATGATGCTACTTGTTAGCTAAAGGAGCTTAGGGAAATGCCTTACTTTTCTCAAATTGAGGCTCAGTCTTCTCACCCGTAAAGTGCGGACAATAATAAACTTTCTTGAAGGCTTACTTGACAGTAAAATGATATAATGTACATAAACTGCTGAGCAGAGTATTTGACACATTTGAATTGCTCAAAAGGAGTTGGTCCTGCCTGTTGTAGTCACCGATACTTATCTACTCGCTCGCCATCCCTCTTCTTCCTTCCTAACAGAATCACAAGTTTGGTCAAGTGCCACCTGCCCAGCCATAGAGGATGAACTGTGATTGGTCTAAGCCAGTGTTACTCAATAGGAACAGTATTGGGATTTAGGGGTGAAGTTATTCTTCCTTGTGTGGGTCTACTTCTAGTATTATAGAATGTGGCACATCCCTGACTCCTAGTTGGCACTTGGGCAATATGTGCAAAGTCAATTAATATTTCTTTTGATACTTTGCAGTAAAAATATCAGATTAGAAGCAGTGTAATCTGTCTTGCAATCCTGAAGGAAAAGCCAAAGCTGAGAGATTTGAGAAGCTGACACAGCAGCCTAATATAACCACTAAACTCAACTTGGAACTATGGAGCTCCAGACTTATGAAGTGAGATACTTTAGTGTCTTTATTATTTAAGGCATTATGTTAGGGTTTCTCTTGTGGATAACCAAAAGGATTTATAATTGATATATACATAATCACCCTCATTCATCTGTTCCCTTTGTTCGAATGAACAGCAAAATGTATACCGTACCTTTGGCTACCATAAACCCTTTCTGCTGTAAAACGTGGGTGAGCAAAATGCAAGAATGAAGGGAAAAAGAAAGGAAGGAGGGAAGGAAAAAAGGAAGGAAGGAAGGTAGGAAGGAAGGGAGGAAGGGAAAGAAAGAAAGGCAGGGCGCGGCCGGCGGGCAGGGGGGAGGGGAGGGGAGGGCAGGGCAGGGCAGGGCAGGGCAGCTCTCCCTCTTCTCTCAAACCAAAATATTTCCGGTTTCTCCAAGTCTCCCTATCTTAAACTTTGTGGTCAGTTCAGAGGTGGTTTGTAAAATTGTGTGTGTGTGTGTATATATATATATATGATGGTTTGTAAAATTATATATATGATGATTTGTAAAATTATATATATACATTATATATAGAAGCTATTTATTGCAAAAATATATTTAGGGAAATGTATTTAAGGATATATATATATATATATATATATATATATATATATATATATATATATATATCTATATCTCCTTGGTGGAAGTTAAGGAGACAGCTGAAAGGGTTGCTTAAAAAAATCTGACTCAAATTAAAAGCGTCTGCCTTATTCAGTGGTGAAAAAATATCAGCTCTCTTTACCTTCTCACTACAATGTTCCCTGCTCCCTTTATTAGCATATATTTTATATGTAATATATCACACATAGGTTAATGTACATTTTATTGCATTTGAAGGAATAGTTTAACATGAATGTTTAATTTTTAGGCACTTCATTTACCTATCTCTTATCACATCCCCCTTCCCTTTTGTAATGTTTGTGTTAATAACCATCTGCTTTAAATTATACCTAGATAGGAAAAGGAAAAATGAATTATAGCTTCCATAGCACCATAGGGTGACTATAAATTAACAATTTGTTGTATATTTTCAAATATCTAGAACAGTAGATTTTGAATGTTTCTATCATAGAGAAATAATAAGTATTTGAGGTGATGTATATGCTAATTGCCCTGATTTGATCATTACACATTGTGTGCATGTATCAAAATATCACACTGTATCCCATCAATATGTACAGTTATTACCTGTCAAATAAAAACAAAGGGGAAATATATTTCATGTAGATATTTTCCTATATTTTGCTGTAAAATTATCGAACTTTTACCTTTTCAAATTTACACTCTTCATCCATTTTGAATTTAGTTTTGTGTAAGATACAAATAGAGATCCAATTTCACTTTTTCTAATATGAATAGTCAGTTATCCCATATCCATAAATGGAATATCTCCTTCTTTCCCCGCCAATCTACAATGTTTTATCTTTCATATCAGAATTCTATATATGCCTTGTTCTCTTTCTGGGGCTTTTTATTTAATTCCATTAGTCAATATGTCTCTTTCTTCATGAACACCACACTCTCTTAATTATTATACTTTTAAACTGAATATTAATAGAGCAAATCCTTCCACTTTTTTTTCACAAATGCCATGGTTATACTTTTTCCCTTTTAAATTCAATATAAAATTTCGATTACTAAAATTCCATTAAAATTTTAGTTAGAATTCTGATTAGACTTAATTAAAATTAAGGACTATTTTAGAAAGGAGCAACATTTTTAAAATCCTGAGCCTTCCAATATATGAAGTTGGTATCACTTTTCATTAAATTTGGCATTCTTTACTATCTTCTAATGAAGTTTTATATTCTGCTCACAGGCGCTGTATATATTTAGAGGTAAGCTTATATATTTATATGTTTTTTCCCCATTTCTTTTAAAAAATTTTTGTTATGAAACATCTCAAACATATAAAGGTAGATATAATAGTATGATATGATTTACTGTCTCCCAGCTTCGGTAAATATCAACTCAAGGCCTTTTATAAAATCTGTGCCTCCCTCTTTCCCTCCTCCATCTGTGTTATTTTGAAACAAGTCATAGGTTAGAAAATTGAGCATCAAGAGGGAGAATTTCAAGAGAGAAATATTCTAATTAATTTTTAAAAATAAATTATTTGTATAATTTTTATTTTTTAAAAATTACAGTTTTTAGGCTGGGCATGGTGGCTCATATCTGTAATCCCAGCACTTTGGAAGGCTGAGGTGGGTGGATCACCTGAGGTCAGGAGTTTGAGACCAGCCTGGCCAACATGGTGAAACCCTGTCCCTCCTAAAAATACAAAAATTAGCCGGGCATGGTGGTGTGTACCTGTAATCCCAGCTACTTGGGAGGCTGAGGCAGGAGAATCACTTGAACCCAGGAGGTGGAGGTTGCAGTGAGCCGAGTGGTCTTGCCACTGCACTCCAGGCTGGGCAACAGAGCGGGACTCCATCTCAAAAATAAAAATTACAGTTTGTAATTTTTGTGGGTACATAGGTGTATACATTTATGGGGTACGTGAGGTGTTTTGATACAGGCATAAAATGCATAATAATCACATCATGGAGAATGTGGTGTCCATCCCCTCAGGCATTTAAACTTTGTGTTACATACAATCTAATTACACATTTTTAGTTATTTTTAAATGTACAGTTATTATTTACTATAGTAAACCTATTTTGCTGTTGAATAGTAGGTCTTATTCATTACTTTTTTATTTTTTTAAGACGGAGTTTCACTCTTGTCACTCAGGCTGGAGTGCAATGGCACTATCTCAGCTCACCGCAACCTCTGCCTCCCAGGTTCAAGTGATTCTCCTGCCTCAGCCTCCCGAGTGTCTGGGATTACAGGCGCATGCCACCATGCATGGCTAATTTTTTTTTTTTTTTTTGTATTTTTAGTAGAGACGAGGTTTCGCCATGTTGGCCAGGCTGGTCTGGAGCTCCTGATCTCAGGTGATCCACCCGCCTTGGACTCCCAAAGTGCTAGGATTACAAGCATGAGCCACTGCACCCAGCCTACTTCTAACTATTTTTTTGTACCCGTTAACCATCCCCAACTCCCCACCAGCCCACCACGACCCTTTCCAGTCTCTGGTAACATCCTTCTACTCCCTATCTCCATGAATTCAATTATTTTGATTTTTAGATACCACAAATAAGTAAGAACATGCAATGTTTGTCTTTCTGTGCCTGGCTTATTTCACTTAACATGGTCTCCAGTTCCATCCATGTTGTTGCAAATGACTGGATCTCATTCTTTTTTGTGGCTGAGTAGTACAACATTGTTTACAAGTGGCTGGCAAGATGACCGAATAAGTATCACATTTTTAAAAAATCTATTCATCTGTTGATGGACACTTAGGTTGCCTCCAAATCTTAGACATTGTGAACAGTGGAGCAACAAAACTAAGAGTGCAGATATCTCTTAAATATACTGATTTCCTTTCCTTTGGGTATATACCTAGCAATGCGATTTCTGGATGGTACGGTACCACTATTTTTAGTTGTTTAAGGAACCTCAAAACTGTTCTCCATAGTGGTTTACTAATTTACATTCCTGGCAAAGGTGTATTGAGGATTTCTTTTTCTCCAGGTCCATGTCAGCATTTGTTATTACCTGTTTTTTGAACATAAGCCATTTTAACTGGAGTGAGATGGTATCTCATTGTAGTTTTGATTTGCATTTTGCTTATGACCAGTGATGTCGAGCACCTTTTCAGATGCCTGCTTGCTATTTGTATGTCTTCCGTTGAGAAATGTATATTCAAATCATTTACCTATTTTTTGGTTGGATTATTTGACTTTTTCCTATAGAGTTGTTTGAGCTCCTTATACATTCTGGTTACTAATCTCTTCTCAGATGGGTAGTTTGCAAATATTTTCTCATATCATTGGGTCATCTCTTTGTTTATTGTTTTCTTTGCTGTTCAGAAGTTTATTTTTTAATTTTTGTGGGTACATAGGAGGTATATATGTTTATGGGATGCATGAGATGTTTTGATACAGGCATGCAGTGTGAAATAAGCATATCTTGGGTAATGAGGTACCCATTCCCTCAAGCATTTATCATTTGAGGTACAAACCATCCAATTATACTCTTAAAGTTATTTTAAAATGTACAGTTAAGTTATTATTGACTCTAGTCGCCCTCTTGTGCTGTTGAATAGTAGGTCTTATCCATTCTATTTCTTTCTTTTTTTTTTTTTTTTTTTTTTTTTTGAGATTGAGTCTCACTCTATCATCCAGGCTGGAGGGCGGTGGCATGATCTCAGCTCACTGCAACCTCTGCCTCAAGCGATTCTTGTGCCTCAGCCTCCCGAGTAGCTGGGATTACAGGTGCCTGCCACACGCCTGGCTAATTTTTTGTATTTTTAGTAGACACGGGGTTTCACCATGTTGGCCAGGCTGGTCTGGAACTCCTGACCTCAAGTGATCCGCCCGCCTCAGCCTCCCAAAGTGCTGGGATTACAGGCATGAGCCACTGTGCCCAGCCCATTCTTTTTATTTCTTTGAACCCAATAACCATCCCCAACACCCTACCAGCCCCGCAACCCTTTCCAGCCTCTGGTAACCATCTTTCTACTCCCTGTCTCCGTGAGTTCAATTGTTTTGATTTTTAGATCCCAAACATAAGTAAGAACATGCAATGTTTGTCTTTCTGTGCCTGGCTTATTTCACTTAACATAATGATCTCCAGTTCTGTCCATGTGGTTGCAAATGACTAAATCTCATTCTTTTTTATGGCTGAATAATACTCCATTGTGTATATGTACCAGATTTTCCTTATCCATTTATCTGTTGATGGACACTTAGTTTGCTTAAAAATCATGCCTATTGTAAACAGTGCTGCAACAAACATAGGAGTGCAGATATCTCTTAGATATACTGGTTTTCTTTCTTATGGGTATATACCCAGAAGTAGGATTGCTGGATGGTATAGTACCTCTATTTGTAGTTTTTTTGAGGAACTTTCTAACTGTTCTCCACAGTGGTTGTACTAATTTACATTCCCACCAACAATGTAGAAGTTTCCCCTTTTCTCCACATCCTGTCCAACATTTTTTTAATTTTAATTTTAATTTTTTTTCCTGTGGTTTGGATATGAGACATTTTAACTGGGGCGATATGATATGTCTTTGTAGTTTTGGTTTGCATTTCTCTCATGATCAATGATGTTGGGCACCTTTCCATATGCCTGGTTGCCATTTGTATGTCTTCTTTTGAGAAGTATTTATTAAAATCTTTTGGCCATTTTTTGACTGGAGTTTTAGACTTTTTTACTATACAGTTTTTGAGCTTTTTATATATTCTAGTTATAAATTCATTTTCAGAGGGGTAGTTTGCAGATAATTTCTCACATTTTATGGATTGTCTCTAAACTTTTTTGATTGTATCGTTTGTTGTACAGAAGCTTTTTAACTTGATGTCATCTCATTTTTTTCCATGTTTTATTTGGGTACCTGAGTTTGTGGGGTATTACTCAAAAAAGTTTTGTCCCAAGTGATGTCCTAGAGAGTTTCCCCAAAGTATTCTTGTAGCAGCTTTATAGTTTGATGTATTGGATTTAAGTCTTTAGTCCATTTTGATTTTATTTTTGTGGGAACTTAAGTTTAGCCTGCTGGGGTAGGTGTTTCTCCTCTGGCTAGGGCTGCTTTAAATGCTCCTTCTGTGGATGGTTTCAGCTGAGTTTGGTTTGTTTTTTCTTTGTGCTGTAACAGGACAGCACTGAGTTCAATGCCTCACAATTGCTGTGTTCTTCATCCTCCAGTGCCTAGAGATGCTATGTGCAGCAAACTGCCACTTTCGGGGAAATGAGGAAGGGGTAGCATCAATGATTCAAGACTGTTTTTTTTGTTTTGTTTTTTGTTTTTTGTTTTTTAACTTCACTGCCTCTTTCAGCGATACAAATATAAAACCAGGTAATATGAAAGCTCACTTAATTTTTAGTTCTTATTAAGTTGTTTTTTTGTGAGTAGATAGATAGTTGTTAAACTGCCATTGCAGGGGAGACGATCAGTAGAGCCTTCTATCCCAACATCTTGCTTAGCCTTTCCTCCTATTCTAATTACTTTTTTGGCAAGATTATTTTACAGGTAGTGTATTAATCTGTTTTCATACTGCTAGAAAGAACTGCCTGAGACTGGGTAATTGATAAAGGAAAGAGGTTTAATTGACTCACAGTTCTGCATGGCTGGGAAGGCCTCAGGAAACTTAAAATCATATCTGTCTCTTATGATTATTTGCATTTCTGTGGTATCAACTGAAATGCCTCCTCTCTCATTTCTGATTACATATTTGAGTGTTCTCTCTTTTTATCTTAATCTATGTAAATATTTGCCAATTTCATGTATCTTTTCAAGGAACCACTCATAGTTTCATTGATTTTTCTATTGTTTTTTGAGACTCTATTTTGTTTATTTCTGCTCTAATACGTATTTTTTTCTTTCCTTCTGCTGACATTAGGCTTAGTTTATTCTTTTTTCCCAGTTCCTTGAGTTGTACACTTAAGTTGTTTGGAAGTATGTAGTTTGTAATTTTTTGACAGAATTTTGCAATGAAAATATTTGTGCCTGGAATATTTGCATGAAAAATGATTTTTTGTGTATTTGATTTTCTTCAGTTAAGTAAGACTATTCAGATTTTTGCACTTATACTTGAAGTTTGCATTTATCACAGATAACTTTATAGTTTTAACATTTCATTTAAGGAAAAGATATTTAAACGTTTGGCTATATTGTGAGATATAATTTCTAATTTCCTATTTAACAAAAGACAAGTTCTTGTAAATTTTTCGTCTGTAGATGTTAAGCTAAATGTCCTTAATCCCTATGACCTGTATTTGAGTTAGACCACCCCACTTACCCTATGGAGCATCTATACTGTCAGCTTATATACTTACCTCTCTGGCTTTGAGTTCTTATTATATTTATAGCATCGTGTATTTCCACTTTTCTTCTCCATTGTGACATATGCTCTAATTTTTTTTTCATTTTATCCAGTGTGATTTTTTAATAGAAGGGTACTCAAGCAGTTTAAATTAATTCACCATGATATTGAAATTGAAAGTCCTAGATCAAAGAATAACAAAAGCCTTTTCAGAATCTATGAGAGAATTGTATGGGTTTTCTCTTTTTATCTGACTATGTAGTATCTTATACCTAAAATGTGCTAATGTTAAGACATCTTTGAACTACTCATACAAACCCTATTTAGTTACAATTTATCACTTTTTAATGCAATGATTGACTCTTTTCAAATATATTATTAATAATGTATTCCTATACTTACATAAGACTGAGCCATATTTTAATTTTCATATTCAATTTTTCCAATACTCTCTACAGTGTTAGAGTGAAGTCAGAATATTTACCCGACTTTTTAAAATAGGAGCTTTATTGAGATATAATTCACGTATTATATAATTCATTTATTTAAAGTTATAACTTTTTAGTATATTCACAGAATTATTAAGTTATTATCACAAACAATTTTAGAACATTTTTGTTACTCCAAAGAAAAGCCATATACCCATTTGCAGTCATTCCTAAGATGTCTGATCCTGCCTTGCCGCCCTCAGACCCTAACAAGAGCCAATCTGCTTTCTTTGTCTACAGATTTGCGTATTCTAGACATGTAATATGAATAGAATAATAAATTTGTCATATGTCATATTTTTTTACCTCATTCACTTAGTATAACGTTTTCCAGATGCATCTGTGTTGTACCATTATCAGTTGTACCGTTATTCCATTGTGGTGCCAAAATATTCCATTCATTGTACAGATATACCATACTTTATTATCTGTTCATTACTTGAGCACTTCTGGTAATTTTACTCTTTGGTTATTATAAAAAGTGCTACTAAAAACATTGACATACACATATTTGTGTGAAAATATGTTTTGTTTCTCTTGGGCTCTAAATTCACCAACGTATTGCCAACACTTGCTATTATATTTCTGACTCTTTTGTTATAGCCACAGTAATGGGTGTGAAGTGGTGTCTCATTGTACTTTTGATTTGCAGTTCTCTCATGGCTAATGATGCTTATTGCCCGTGGGTGTATGATGACTCTTTAAATCTTTTGACTGTATTTTTATGAGGTAATTTGTCTTCTTATTATTGAATCTTAGAAGTATTAATTATACATGTATGTATATTTATATACATACATACACAAATATATATCCCTTAAAGGATTTATAAATGGTAAATATTTTCTCCCATTTCTGGGTTTTATTTTCTTAATAATATTCTTTGAGGAATAAAAGTTTTTATTTTTGATACAAATTTATCTATTTTTTTCTATCACTTGTACTTTTGATATCATGTCTAAGAAACCATTATCTAAATCAAGGTCACAAATGTTTAAACTATTTTTTCTCTAAAAGTTTTTCCTTATGAATTTTCCTTTATGCATTTTAGCTCTTGTATTTAGGTTTTTGAGCTGTTTTAATTTAATTTTTGTGACTTTTATGAGATAGAGGTTTAACATAATTAACTTACATGTGGATATTTAGATATTCCAAACTCTTTATTTAAAATATCTATTATTTCTTGATTGAATTGTCTTGGCAGACTAACTGACCATGAATGTAATGGTTTATTTCTAGACTTCTAATCATGTTAAATTGATTTATATGTCTACTCTCATTCCACTACCATACTGTCTTAATTGCTGTAGCTTTGTAATAGGTTTTGTAATTAGGAACTCTTGAGTCCTCCACCTTGTTGTTTTTCAACATTGTTTTGGGTACTCTTGTTCTCTTTCATTTCTATATGAACTTTAAAAAATATTATTATTCATAATTGTTTTGTTCTTTTGATCTTATAAATAAAATTGCTTTTTAAATTTCATTTTCATAGTGTTCACTTGAAGTGTATACAAATAGAATTGATTTTTGCATATTAATTTTGTATCCTACAACTGTGATGAACTCGCTTTCTAGCTCTCATATCTTTTGTTTTAATAGACTCTATCTTTAGAGCAATATTAGGGATACAGAAAAATTTCACAGAAAGTACAGTTTCCATAATCCCCTTCTCTCCTGCATGCACAGAGTTTCTCCTGTTATTAACATTTTGTTTTAGTGTAGTATATTTTTTGAACCACACTATCAGTGTACTAGTTTTGATACATAATTGTTAATGAAGGTCCCTAGTTTACATTAGAATTTAAACTTTGTATCTCATAGCAGTTTTTGTTTGTGAATTTCTTAATGTATTTATGTACAAGATTATGTCATCTGCAAATAGAGAGTTTTATTTATTTCCAATCTACATGTGTATTAATCTGTTTTCACGCTGCTATAAAGGACTGCCTGAGACTGGGTAATTTATAAATGCAAGAGGTTTAATTGACTCACAGTTCAGCATGGCTGGGGAGTCCTCAGGAAACTTACAATCATGATGGAAGGCAAAGGGGAAGCAAGGCAGCTTCCTCAGAAGGCGGCAAGAAGGAAAAATACGGAGCGAAGGGGGAAGAGCCCCTTATAAAACTATCAGATCTTGTGAGAACTCACTCACTGTCATGAGAACAGCACAGGAGAAACTGCCCCCATGATTCAGTTACCTCCACCTGGTTTCTCCCTTGACAAGTGAGGATTATGGGGATTATGGGAACTACAATTTCAGATGAGATTTGGGTGGGGACACAAAGCATAAGCATATCAGGTGGAGCTTTGTAATTCTATCAAATAATTTATAATCTTTGGTTCCCTCTTTTAATGAGATAAGCAGTCATTCATGATACTGCCTAAATTCATTATTTTATCAAGGGTTTTATATTGTTGATATTCTATTATTTTTATTCTTCAAACATTTATAAACTGGCATGATATTTAGAAAAACAAACTTCCTCTCATCATTTACTTGGTGACCCTCGTCAAACAGGCTGATAGATTTGGCTGCTAAAGAAACAATGATCCCTTTATAGATTCAGACACTCTATTACATACACAGCAAAGCAAGATCAGCAATGTCATCCCCTTCTCACATCCTACGTGCCATGAAACAGACAGGGCCAGGTGATAACACAAGTGATGCAACATTTTGCTGCTAGGAAGTCAATTTCATGCTGCAGTGAATGAGCTTTATAACCTGCAAGTCTACCCTAATTAGGGGAATACTGTAGCAGAACATGGAATGTGATGTGAAACTAGCTGTGTCATGACAGTTTCTTTGAATTGGATGGGGGAGGGGTCAGAAATGGCCTGTGAAAGCTCCTTAGAAGATTATCTATCTTCCCATGTTCCAGGAGTATCACAGGATATGCAATCGAGACTTAGACCTGAAGTAGTTTAGACCTGCCTACGTGACCTATGTAGATGGATGCACTGTCCTCAGGGTGCTAGAATAGAGCAATTCTCCTAAGACACTGAAGTGTAATTAATACAGGAAAAGTAGGGCACGTTCTTAAATATTTCCTTTTATTTTTCAGTTTTTATAATAATGTGTTACTTCCCTACTATCTTCCCAATGTCATAAATTATGAAATTCCATGAAATTGATTTAAACATATTTGTTACGTTTGAATCCACTATAGTTATTATCCTTGCTGATGCTCAAATTCTCTCATCTTTGGCCATTGGAATCCCATTCAAGTTGGGTCCTGAGTCCTTTGGTATTATTCTATTAGTCTTTCCTAGCTTTTATTTATTTCTGATATAAGATGTATTAGGTTCATGTAGTACATTTCCTGCCTCTAACTTCAAATAAGTGATTTATTCAAGGATCTCTGGTTTCTTTCAGTTTAACTATTATTTAGAGACTACTATTTGGATGCTAGGTATGCTCATTTCTACTGTAAATTATCATTTTGTTTCTAGATCTCTTCAGTAGAAAGTTCCAGTAAATAGGTATTTTTTAAGACACAATATTTCAAGATTTCAGAGTGATATTTCCAAATCAAAGACAACAGCTTTTATACTTAAGTCTCAACAATATTACCTTTGTACCTTCTTTCTTCCATGCCTTAAACACTGGCTTTCAAAAATGTCAACGAATAACTCATTTTCTTCATCCTCTAATATACACAAAACCAGAACTAAGATGAAAAATATAATTTTTTATTGCAGTAGTAGGTACACTGAGGCGCTCAGAATACAGAAGTTGCTGACATTTGGCTTCTGAGTGGAAAGATTGTCCATGGGGCTGGGATGGGAAGACAGGCCTGTAGGTGATTAAATATTCTGCTGTCACCCTGAGACTATGTTACTAAAATTTGTTCCCCTCACACCAGAAAACCTGGTGGACTTTTCTGCAAATATTTGGACCGCACTGCACCCCTGAGACCTCGTCTCTTCACTGTAGTACAAGCTCCAACCTGTTTGAATTTCTGATATATTGACTGTACGTCTCCCACAGATAAAGTGAGGTGAACAATGTGAGTGTGACAGTAAGATCCAAGCTTCGAGTTGGAAACAAGAGCCAGCGTTTTCATTGGTTCAAAAATTATATATAATTTTAAATAATTTTAAAATTTTTAGTTATTTTTGTTATTTGGTTACATCATGTTTTTAAGAGATAACATTAAAAACATTATAAGTGAGAACATGTAGTGTTTCGTTTTCTGTTCCTGCATTAGTTTGCTGAGGATAATGGCTTCTAGCTCCATCCATGTCCCTGCAAAGGACATGATCTCATTCCTTTGTATGGCTGCGTAGTATTCCATGGTGTATATGTATCACATTTTCTTTATTCAGTCTATCATTGATGGGCATTTGTGTGGATTCCATGTGTTTGCTATTATGAGTAGTGCTGCAGTGAACATTTTTCTTAAAACAGGAAGTTAACAGAAGATGAAGTGATAAATAATAAAAATTAAAAGTATTCTGAAGAAAGTATCCAGAATAAAGTACAGAAGTTTAAAGAGATTGCAGTTTTGGGGCAGAGATTTTAAAATAAAAAAAAAAAAAAAGAAGAATGTCTTACATATGTTCATTAGTGCCTCAAATATTGTTAATATTTGAGAATATTGTACTTGAGAACTTTCCATAATTAAAAAATATGAACTCTTGGATTCAGAATGTACAAGAATTTTCATACAGGATTAAATAAAAATAAACTCACATCTACATATACTAAAGTGAAACTAGAAAATATCAAAGTCTAGAAAATAATCAAAATACAAATTCAAACCAAGGTATGATAATTAGACTAACAGTCAATTCTCATCAACAACATTTTCAGCCACATGACAATAGAATAGTATCTTCCAATTGCAGAATAAAATAACTGTTGATATGGAATTCTATACATATATAAAGCATAATCCATTAGTGGTGGAAAAATAAATACTTTTTCAGCTAAGGTGTTAGAGAATTTGCAATTAACAAATTATCACTGAAATAAATTTTAAAGGATGAACGTTATGAATTGGAAAATTGAAGCCTGAAAACAATGAGATTCAAAGAATGGTCAACAAAAAGTTATCATATTTGTGAATCTAAATAAGCATTGACTCTATAAAGCATTAATATGGCAAGTAACTAAAATATTGTATAAAAATAATATGTAGAACATAAGGGTGACTTAAAGATTCAAATAATTTATGTTTTCAGTTGGAAATAACTACTCTATTAACAGCATCTTAAACAATTAGAAATAATACTTATTTTGCATATTATGATGTCCAATGGTGACTACACCTAATAATAATGTATTCTATACTTGAAAATCTCTGAGAAAAGATTTCAAGTGTTCTCAACATGCACGCACACTAAGCATGTGAGACAATATATATGTTAATTAGCTCAATTTAACTATTTTGTAATATAAACATATTTCAAAACATCATGTCATCCATCATAAATACATACAATTTTTTTCAGTTAATAGAAAGAAGTCCAGAAGTCAACAGTATATAGATTGGTGCACCAGCTCAATTATGTCATTGAGGACACAAGCTCTCATCCTTATTCTGCTGTGTTTTCTATCATGAGTTTCTGATATCTCCCCTCATGGTTAGAAGATAACCTCAGCCACTCAAGTACCATGTTCTCACACAAACACATTGAAAAGCAGAAAGAAGATGGTGAAAAACGTCTTCTGTTAAATGTCTATTTCCTTTTCTTTTTTCTTTTTTCTTTTTTTGAGACAGAGTCTCACTCTGTCGCCCAGGCTGGAGTGCAGTAGTGTAATCTTGACTCACTGCAACCTCCGCCTCCTGAGTTCAAGGGATTCTCCTGCCTCAGTATCCCGAGTAGCTGGGATTACAGGTGAGCACCACCACACCTGGCTAATTTTTGAATTTTTGTATTTTTTTTTTTTAGTAGAGATGGGTTTTCACTATGTTGGCCAGGCTGGTCTCGAATTCCTGACCTCAAGTGATGCACCTGCCTCGGCCTCCCAAAGTGCTGGGATTACAGGCATGAGCCACCGCGCCCGGCCTAAATGTCTATTTTTTAAATCAGCTTGGGACATCTTTTCAATTAGCTTGAGAGCAGGCCTCTATTTATATTCCATTGGCCACAAATGGCACACATATGTCATTAACCATAACCAATTACTGGCAGAAGGGACTATGATTTTCTTGTTTTGACTAAGGCCAATTATGATTTACCATCTAATAATAGATTCACCTTCTTTGAAGGTATTGTTTCTCAATATTTAAAACTGTGGTCTGTTAGCACGGAAAAGAGAAGAGAATACCTGTTGTCTAGACAACCAACATTTCTTGCCTCAGCATTCTATTGTTCCAGAGGAGAGGGATATTGGTTAACTTTGGACTTTATTAAGTCAATTAGGCATGCTGAAAAGTTAAGGATACATGCTATGAATAGAAATAGAGCATGTAACTTCCAAACCATGGTAGTATAAATAGGATAAAGAAAAATAAAAATCCAATAGAAGGCAGTTTACAAAGTAAAGATAGAGCACTCAGCATAGTTTGATGGACAGGAAAGTTTTGAACTCTGCTCTGTCACGGACTTACTGGAAAGTTGTTGATCTCTAGTGTTTAGTTTTTCTAAGTGTAAAGTTAGTGGTTGGTCTGAATGGCTTTTATGGTTTCTTTTAGTTCCAATAGTCTGTGAAATAAATACTTTGTTTTTTTGTAAGTATTCACTAGACTGTATCCACTAAACAACATATTCACCACTTTCCTCACCTATGCATATGATTGTGTCAAATCTTCATGAGCAAATGTGCACATGAAAATTTCGGGAGCATCTAGGAACAGAAAACATTGTTTTAAAGTGGCTTAATTTAAATCCCAATGATGTCTTGGCTTAATAAATAAAGTTATTGCCTTTTTGCCCGTTCTCCTCTTTCTAATTATTTCCTATTGTAAAACATATTTATCAGATTATTAATTCTTCCATTACTACATGATTTGGAATTTACATTCATTAAAGAAATGACTCTGTAGAATGAAGACATGGTTTAGGAAATCTTGAAAGGTCATCTACTTTCCTAAAGTTGATCTGTATGTATTTCTCTTTACTACATGTTGGTAAAGCTCTTTCTGTTAGCTTCAGCCTAAGCTCACCCGCACCTGATTAAAGCTTTCCTTGAGTGGAGCCATGTTTACATGTTTCCCCTTTCAAGCACTTCCACATTTCATGTGATCAAAAAATAGTATGAGTGGTCAATAAAGCAGTCATATAAAACAAAGTCTGTTAACTATAAAAAGAAGATTTTGCTAAGCAAGAAATAAAGCAGAAAGTGCAGGTGTTAGCTCTCAAAATAAAATGATTTACTAGCCTTTACTTGAGAATTGACTACACCTGAATATGTACAGTGAAGGTGACACATATAGGTACAAAAGCATCAGGATTCTATTAAAAAAAAAAAGAAAAACTAGTTTATGCAATGCTGGAGGTTTACATAGTTAGAAAGAGAGAAACTTAGGGATTCTAAATTGTCGAATCTACATTCTTCTTGAGAAAAGTGTGACTTTAGCCTATGGTCTCCTGACATGTGCCCAAATATTTGTAAAAGTTAAAATTAGCAGAGCCCTAGGAGTAGATCGTAGAAAAGGGGTCAAGAGGGTAATTCTAAAGTCAGTATTTTTCTTTTATTCCTGCTAGCTGTGATAAAGTCAGTATTTTTAATTTCATATATTTTCAGTTTACCAAAGAGATAATCTGAAAAAGATAGTAAAGATTGATTTGAAGAGTTTAGGTTCATTTTTTGACAGTTCTCTTTATTCCTGGATGAGTTATTGAGTTCCTAATAAATGCATGGTACTGTGAAAGATAAAAGATTAATTGGCAAAAGAATCTAATTTTAGAGCATTTACAAGCTGTTTGAGAATATTGTATATGCACACAAGTAGCCATTAATGTGCAGTAGAAAATTGTGTATATGCCATAATAACTTTATAGATGATGCACTATGAGAGTTCAGAAGGAACAGTAACCTCCAGCAGGGTTTTGAGGAAGCAGAGAAGAAAATTTGAACTTGACCTTGAATACTAGGTTTATTTCTGGCAGAATGAACTGTGGGAAAAGCAAGGAGTTCACAAAGCATGGAGTATATATAGAAAAAATGAGAGCTCAGATTTACGGAGCTATTATGTACGTGGCACTCAGCCCCGTCTTTTATATACATTAACATTTATTTAATCCTTACACAGCTTGGTGAGGAAGAGGTATTATTATTCCCATATTAAAGACTAAAATATTGAAACTCAATATCAAAGTTGAAATAACACGCTAATGATCACCAAGCTTATTTATTATGGAGTCAGATTTTCAACACAGGCCTGTTTAGCTGCAGTCTACCCTCATTTCAATATATTACACTAATTCTCAATTTCATTGCATGAAAGGTAGAATGGGAAATAAGGTTGAAAATATAGCAAGCACTTGTGAAATGGCTTGAATAAATAATAATAATAATGTAAGAGGAATTGGAATCCCTCTTCTAATAATGAAAAGCTGAACAGAAAATATAAAAATTGTGGTTAGTGCTTATAGCAGCTAGATAACAAATAGGCTCTCAGTGACCCCTGCGTCTCGGTATTCATGCCCTTCTGTACTCTTAGGTGCTGTCCCAGGGTTGGTCTGTGTGATGGTATGTAACTTCTGAGACTGTGTTATAGACACTGTTGCTTCCATCGTGGTCGCACTTTCCAATTCTCTCTCTCTCTTTCTCTCCCCACCCACCGTGTGTGTGTGTGTGTGTGTGTGTGTGTATTTGTGTGTGTGTATTTGTGTGTGTCTGTCTCTCTCACATCTCTTTCTGAAGGAACTCAGATACCGTGTAGTGAACAATTGCATGAAAAGATCTGTCTTGAGGAACCAAATAATTTTTTAAATATCCATGTCATAGGCTTAGAAGTGGATTCTCCAGCCACACCTAAGCCTTCAGATGGCCTATATAGACCTGGTAGACTACTTGACTGCCATATCATGAAAGATCATGAGCCAGAATCTCCTAGCTAAGCTTCTTCTACATTATTGATCCCCAGAAATTGAGTGGTGTGAGAAATGTTTATTGTCTTCAGCTGCTAATTTTGAGATAATTTGTTACACAGCAACAGATAACTAATACAGATTTTGGTAACTTGGAACAGGGTGCTTCTGTAACACACAATTGAAATATATGAGTGGTTTTGGAGAAATAAACTATCTGGAACTGGAAGAATTTTAAGAAAAGCATTAGTGAAAGCCTAAATTGCTTCAATCAGACTGTAGGTAGAATTTTAGAAAGCGAGGAAGCTACTAGTGAGGATTTAAATGAAAGCATGGAAAATCTTGTTGGAAACTGGAAGAAAGGTGATTGTTGTTCATAGGGGAAATAGTTTAGCAAAACTGTGTCCTTGTTTCTATTTGTAAAGTAGAAAATATAGCTAATAAGCTGGATGATCTAGCTAAGGTTTCCAGACTAGAGCTTTGTTTCTTCTTGCTGCTAAGAGTAAAATCTTAGAGGAGAAAGATAAACTCAAGGACATACTATTAAACATGAAGAATCTGGGACTTAGTAGTTTGGAATATTCTCAACCTTAACAAGCTGTGAAAAATAAGAAATGGCTTCCAAGCAAAGATCAAATTCAGGGCACTAGCAAGGAAACATATTCTAAATATCTATAATTAATCAGTCAGGTAAAATATCCTTTAAATACTTAAAGACTATGAATTCTGGAGTTCTAGAATAAACCCAAAGTAGAAAAGGACTTTCATATAAGAGATTTTGTAGATGTTGCTTTTTATCTAATGGAGTGTACCCCAATAGCATTCGCAGGAGACTCACAAAGTTATTAAGATAATTATATTGACATAAACACCTCTAACCTGGCCTGAAAGAGACAAAGACTGTAAAAAAATGGAAGAAATACTTATCACATCACAAATTCTACTTGAAGGAAGCAGTCTGAGAAAATAAAATAACTAAACTGCAAACATGTGCTAACTTTTTATGAAAAAGAAACATGACTCTCACAGAGTCAGAGTCCAGAGGGTTTAGATATGAGTTACAGAGTTAATTTCCAGACATACAAATCTGTCCACAGCTATATTTTAAAAGTTCTGCAGTCCAGAAACACCTGTGTGCCTCTTACTTCCTCACCTCCCCATTTTGAACAGAGCATTAGTAACGGTTATACTATGCCTTTCTCACTACTGTAGGTTGATTATGAGGGGGTTAGATAATTTATCTACTTCAGAGCTTGATAGGCTTAGAGGATAAGCACTTAAAGGAGATGTATTCAATGGGCTATGAGATGCCTCATCCTCACTTGGATCTGATTACATGATGAGATTCTTGATTTTGAGCTGATGCTGTGAAAAGGAATGGAGTGTTATGAAGAAAAAAGGTACAAAGGTTTTCAGCAGATAGACTTTTAAAAAGTAATGTATGAATAGATGCAGATAGATCTAAGGGTGGAAAAGCCACGTCAGAAGTTTGGGTATTGTCCTTGGGAATCTCCTTATGTTTGGCCTAAATCAAGTTAGAGTCTACATTTGTTATAACTTTAATCCTTGCCACTCCTACATTATAATTCCATTTGAGGTGTCCTAACTATTAAGTAAATAAATTCCCACAACACCCCTTAGTCTGTTGTGTTAATTTCATGGAGAGCGAAAGTTCACAAAGGGAAAGAAAAAGTTCCATCCCACATTCACCCCCCCTTGAGCTATTGTGAAGTGGTAGCATCAGTTTATCAAGTGAATGACATCTTAAGTTTTTGAGTGATAAACCTGGCACTGGAGAGCCACTCAAAGCTAAGCTAGCAGTTCAAGTAAGATATATGGTAGGAAAACAGCGTGTTAGGGTCCAAGAAGATTGTATGCATGAGAGACACTAAGATGCTTCTTTCTTACTGTTTTCACAAGATCTTTTTAAACAGATCTACTGAGCAGAGTGTGTGTTCAACCCAAAGAGGACAAAAGATTATCCAGTAAAAGGCGGGAGAAGTACTTAGAACGTTTATTTCTTTTTTTAAATTTATATATCTATGTAACTGCCAACATAATCAAGAGCATAGGCAGACAGCTAGATATTTGAGTATGTAACTATATATATGAGTGTATTAAAATCAACACTATGTACACACACTTATAATTACCATAGTCATTCTAGTGAGTAAAAAGTAGTATCTCCTTGTGGTTCTTATTTTTATTTCCTAATGACTAATGATGTTGAGCAACTTTTATGTGCTTACAGGCCATTTATGTATCATTTTGAGGAAAATGTCCATTTGAATTCTGTGACCATTTAAATTTTTTATATTTTTAACAGTGCCTTGTATAAGTTCTGTATATTGGAACTGTATATTGTTCTGTATATTGGATACAAGTTCTGTATATTGGATACCAGAATGTTATCTGTAGGATGTATCTTTACTTTTTAAATAATATCCTTTGATACACAAATTTTTTAATTTTGAGGAAGTCAAATTTATCTGTTTTTGTTTTATAGTCTTTGTTTGTGGCATCATATCTTTAAAAACTTGCCTAATCCAAGGTCATACGTATTTACACTTATGTTTTCTTCTAATAGTTTTATACTTTTAGCTTTTTCATGTAGGTCTTTCATCCATTATGAGTTAATTTTTGTATATGGTGCAAAGTTGGATTTAAATTCATTTTTGCATGTGGATATATATAGTTTTTCCAGCACCAGCTTGTAAAAGACTATTCTTTTCCCCATTCAGTGGTCTTGGCACTCTTGTAGAAATTCATTTGACTATACATATGTAGTTTATTTTGGAACCATTATTCTGTTCTACATATGTGTCAGTAGCAGCCTTATCTCAGCTGTGAAATAGAAAAATGTCTAGATACAATGTGAAATGTCTCCTTGGAGACAAAATTATGCAAGAGAACCACTGTATTGCTTAATATTGTTCCTCTGAGAAAGAGTTGATGGGACAATAACAAATATCATGTTTCTAATATAAATAAAGCATGAATTAATACTTAATTTTGTACATCTGCATTTTCCAAGTCAGTGTCAAACAAATTTAAATACAATTCTCCACATTCATTCTTTTTTGGGGCTTTTAGTATGGTAATATGCATATAGATTTATTATCTGTAATACTTCTCTTAAAAGAAATTTCATGTTATTAACTACTTTATTACTATTTTCCTGGCTTTCCTGTAGCTCACTGTCCTTTTTTACCTGCCTTCTTCCTGGGCTCCACTTCTTAGTCCAATCTCTTAAATATTGGTGTTTTCCAGGGTTCTGTCTTCTGTTCAGATCATTTTACCTTATATGCTCTTCCCTGTATTATCTCATTTACCCTCATAGATTTGATAGCCACCTACATATAGATGACTTGAAAACCTGTATTTCTCATGCAGATATTTCTTCTTGGTACCATACTTATATAGCCAACTTTCTATCTAGCATTTCTATTCAAAATTTCCAATAAGCACTCATACTTAAATATGTTATTTATGGAACTCATATGCTATACTCAACAAACAAGCTCCTTACTCTATATACCTTATCTCATATTGTGATATATCATTCTCCTTGGTTACTCATTCTAGAAACCTAGGAGTTACACTCATATTCTATATTCAAACTGTAATTTTTACCTGATAATTTAACCTCTTTGGTGTTTCTTAAGTTTGCACAACTTCTACATCTTTTTAAACTATTCCTCAGATTTCTCTCTCATTTGGATTATTTTTCCCCAACTGTTTGTAAGTATAGTTGATAGTTAAAAATTATATATAAGTTGTAAAACTTGATGATTTGTTATATGTATGCACTGTGAAATATCCACCACAATCAAGCTAATTAACATGTTCATCATCTCACATACTTACCATTTATTGTTGTGTAGTGAGAACATTAAATACCTACCCTCTTAGGAAATTTCAAGTATAAAATAAAATATAGTTAATTATAGACACATGTTGTACCTTAGGTTTCAATGCTTATTAATCTTGCGTAACTGAAACTTTATTTTCCTTGAACAATATATTTTCATATCCCCCTACCCCAACCACTGATAACCACCATTATACAATCTATTTCTATGAATTTGACATTTTCAGATTCCACATATAAGTGAGATCAGGTATATGTATAAGTATACGTCTTTCTGCATCTGGCTTATTCCATTTAGCATAATGCCCTCCAGGTTCATTCATGTCATCACAAATGGCAGGATTTTCTAATTTTTAAGACTGAATAATATTCTTCTGTGTATATACACCAGATTTTCTTTATCCATTTTTAAGGGACTCAAGTTGTTTTCATATCTTGGCTATTGTAAATAATTTTACAATGAACATGAGAGTTCAAATATGTCTTCAAAATACTAACTTTATTTCTTTGGCATATATACCTAAAAAGATTGCTGAATAATGTGGCAGTTTTATTTTTATTTTTCTGAGACTCCACGATATTGTTTTCTGTAATGTCAGTGCCAATTTACATTTGCACCAGGAGTGTACAAGGGCTCTGTTTTTTTCCACATCCTCACCCAAATGTGTTCTTTTTATTTTTCTTTTTTTAATAATGTTCATCCTACCACACTTAAAGAGATATTTTATTGTGATTTTGACTTCATGCTTCACTGATAACTGGGAAGTTGAGCACCTTTTCATATACCTGTGGACTGTTTGTGTATCTTATTTAAAAATGTCTATGCAAGTACTTTTCCCATTTTAAAATCAGGTTAGTTGTGTGTGTTTTTTGCCATTTTGAGTTGCATGTTTTTTTAAATATATTTTTGATATCAACCCCTAATTAACTGTATGGATTGCAAATATTCTCTCCTACTCTGTAGGTGCCTTTTTACTCTGTTGATTGTTTACTTGAATGTACAGAAGCTTTTTAGTTTGATGCAATCCTATTTGTTTATTTTTGCTTTTGTTGCCTGTGCATTTGGTGTCAGTGAATATTTATGTCCCTCAGGATAAAGGCCAAATATTTTACTCTGTATAAACAATTTCTATGACCTTGTCCTTAACTATGCTTCAAGAAATACTTCTTGATTACCAATATCTCACTGAATATCTGAACAAAGGTTAACCTTATATATCCCCAATCACAACCCCATTTTGCCAATATTCTTTTGCTTATAATATTTCTTCCTCTTTGAATGCCATTGCCCTAAGTTTTAGCGTAGTTTATTCATTCTCTTTCTTTAGGACAAAGTGTGATAATCTCCTCTGGCTAACTACCTTGCATTTATTCCCTAGAATGGGTTAGGCAACACTACTTGAGCCTTCCGTAGGCTGCAGGGCACATTCTATCTATAAAAAGCATTATTTTATTAAAGTTGTCTGTTCTCATGAATACCTCTATGACAAGGCAACACTTCTTATGAACAAGATTTATGACTTAATTTTATGTTATCCCTAATTCCTAACAATGTGGCTGGCTCAATATAATTTGGTTCCTTGAATAATATCATCAGGAATTGACAACACATTAGGGGTTAATGCTGAAGGAAGGACTAGGCAAGGACTACCAGATTTTTCTTATCCGTTCATCTGTTGATGGACACTTAGTTTACTTACGTATTCTGGCTATTGTAAACAGCACTGCAAAAAACATGGGAGTGCAGTTATCTTTTTGATATACTAATTTTCTTTATTGTGACTATATACTCAGCAGTGGGATTGCTAGATCATATGGTAGCTATATTTTTTGGTTTCCTGAGGAACCAAAGAATAATTTTCCGTAGTGGTTTTACTAATTTACTTTCCCACCAACAGTGTACAGAGGTTCCCCTTTCTTCACATCCTCGCCAGCATTTGTTATTGCCTGTCTTTGGTATAGAAGCCATTTTAACTGAGATGAAATGATGTGTCATTGTAGTTTTGATTTGCATTTCTCTGATGATCAGTGATGTTGAGCACATTTTCATATGCCTGTTTACTATTTCTATGTCTTCTTTTGAGAAATGTTCATTCAAATCTTTTGTCCATTTTTTCATTATTAGGTTTGTTCCTATAGTGTTGTTTGAGCTCTTTAAATATTCTGGTTATTAATCCCTCATAAATTGGCTAATTTGCAAATATATTCCCCATTATGTGAATTCTCTCTTCAATTTGTTGATTGTTTCCCCATCGTGCAGAAGATTTTTAACTTGATGTGAGTCCATTTGTTCATTTTTGCTTTGGTCGTCTGTACTTGTAGGGCATTGCTCAAGAAATTTTTGACCAGACGAAAATCCTGGGGATTTTCCCCAATGTTTTATTGTATTAGTTTCATGTCTTATATTTAAGTCTTCAATCCATATTTTTTTGATTTTTGTATATGACGAGAGATAGGGTCTAGTTTCATTCTTCTGCATATGGATATCCAGTTTTCCCAGCACCATTTACTGAAGAGACTGTGTTGTTCCCAGTATATATTCTTGGCACCTTTGTCAAAAATGATTTCACTGTAGGTTTGTGGATGTGTTTCTGGTTTCTCCATTTGGTTCCATTGGTCTATGTGTCGGTTTTTATGCCAGCACCATAAGGTTTGGATACTATAGCTCTGTAGTATAATTTGAAGTCAGGTAATGTGATTTCTCCAGGTTTGTTTGTTTTTTCTCGGAATAGCCTTAGGTATTCTGGGTCTTTTGTTGTTCCATATAAATTTTAGGATTGTTTCTTCTACTTTTATGAAGAATGTCATTGGTATTTTGATAGGGATTGCATTTAATCTGTAGATTGCTTTGGGTAGTATGGAAACCTTAACAATATTGATTCTTACAATCAATGAACGTGGAATATCTTTCCATTTCTTGCTGTCCTTTTCAATTATTTTCATCAGTGTTTTAGAGATTCATTATAGAGATCTTTTACTTCTTTGGTTAGGTTAATTCCTAGGTATTTACGTTTATTTGTGGCTATTGTAAGATTACTTTTAAAATTTCTTTTTCAGATTTTGTGCTTTGGGCATATAGAAATGCCACTGATTTTTATATGTTGATTTTGTATCTTTCAGCTTTACTGAACTTGTTTATTATTTCTAATAGATTTTTTGTGGATTCTCTAGGTGTGTCCAAATATAAGGTGATATCATCTGCAAACAAGGATATTTTGACTTCTTCCATTCCAATTACGAAGCTTTAGCTGGGACTTCCAGTACTACATCAAGTAACAGCAGTGACAGTGGGCATCCTTATCTTGTTCCAGATCTTAGAGGAAAGGCCTTCAGTTGTTTTGCATTCAGTATGATACTAACAGTGGATCTGATGTGTGTAGCTTTTATTATGTTGAGGTATGCTCCTTCAATACCCAGTTTTTGGAGTTTTTATCTTGAAAGCATGTTGAATTTTATCAAATGCTTTGCCAGCAGCAATTATCATATGGACTTTGTCCTTCATTCTGTTGATATGATGTATCACATTGACTGATTTTCATATGTTGAACCATCCTTGCATCCCTAGGGTGAATCCCACTGTGTCATGATGAATGATCTTTTAAATGTATTGTTGAATTCAGTTGACTGGTATTTAACTGAGGATTTTTGCAACAATATCCATCAAAAATATTGGCCTTTAGCGTTCTTAGTGCTTTTTAATGTATTTTTCTCTACTTTTGATATTAGGATAGTCTGGCCTCATAGAATGAGTTTTGAAGTAGACTCTCCTCTATTTTTCTCAATAATGTGAGTAGAATTGGTACTAGTTATTCTTATATTTGGTAGAATATAGCAGTGAAGGCTTCAGGTCCCAGGCTTTTATTTTCTGGAGATTTTTTTTAATAAAGATTTTGATTTCATTATCTGTTATTGGTCTTTTCGAGTTTTGGATTTCTTCATTCTTCAATAGTAGTAGGTTGTGTGCATCTAATCATTAGCTAATTTCTTCTTAATTTTTCCATTTATTGGCATATGGTTGCTCATAGTAGCCACTAATGATCATATGAATGTCTGTGGTATCAATTTTAATGTCTCCTTTTACACCTCTGATTTTGTTTATTTGGATCTTCTCTCTTTTTTTCTTAGGTAGCCTGGCTAATGTTTTGTCGATTTTGTTTAACTTTTCAAAAAACCATCTTTTTCATTTTACTGATTTTTTTCATCATTTTCTTTATTCCAATTCCATTTATTTCTGCTATTATATTTATTATTTCTTTTCTTCTACAAATTTTGCATTTTGTTTGCTCTTACTTTTTCTAGTTCTTTAAAATGCACTGTCAGGTTACTTATTTGAAGTTTTTATTATTATTCAATGTAGGCACTTAGAGCTATAAACTTCCCACTTTCTACTGCTTTTGCTGTATCCCATAGTCTTTATTATGTTGTATTTTCTTTATCCTTTGTTTACATAAATTTTTCAATTTCCCTGTTAATTTGTTTATGGAACCACTGGTTATTCAGGAGCATATCGTTAAATTTCCATGTGGTTGTATGCTTTCCAAAATTTCTCTTGTTATTGATTTCTGGTTTTATTCCATTGTGATCAGTAAACATTCTTTTTATTACTTTAAATTTTTAAAATGTTTTAAGACCTTTGTCAACTAACATATCATCTATATTTGAGAATAATCTATGTGCTAAGGAAAAGAATATATTTTCTTTAGCCATTGGACAAAATGTTCTGTAAATACCTTTAGACCCTTTGGTCTGTAGTGCATATTAAGTTTAATGTTTCTTTGTTGATTTTCTGTCTGGAATATTTTTCCAATGCTGAAAGTGGAGTGTTGAAGTCTTCAGTTATTATTGTATTGGAGTCTGTCTCTCTCTTTAGCTCTAATAATAATTGCTTTATATATATGGGTGCTCCAGTGTTAGGTGTATATATATTTCAAATTGTTATATCCTCTAGCTGAATTGACCTCTTTATCATTATAGAGTGACTATCTTTTTCTCTCTCTCTCTTTTTTTGTCTTGAAATCTATTTTGTCTGATATAAGTATAGTCACTCCTGCTCTTTTTTGGTTTCCATTGCCATGGAATATCTTTTTTCATCCGCTAATTTTCAGTCTATGTGTGTCTCTATAGGTAAAGTGTGCTTCTTGTAGGCAACAGATCATTTGGTCTTGCTTTTTTTAAATTATTCAGCCACTCTATGTCTTTTGTTTGGAAAGTTTAGTTCATTTACATTCAATGTTACTGTTGATTAACGACTTACTTTTGCCATTTTGTTGTTTGTTTTCTGGTTGTTTTGTGGTCACTTCTTTCTTCTTTCTTTCCTCTCTGTCTTATTTTAATAAAGGTGATTTTCTCTGGTGATATGCTTTTTTCCCCCCTTTTTATTTGTTGTGTAACCATAGTATGTTTTCTGGTTTTAGTTTACCGTGAGACTAGAAAATATTATTTTATAACCCATTATTTTAAAGTGATAAAAATGCTGTTAGCATAAATAAATAAATGAACAAACAAGTCCAAAAAAATTAATACAAACTCCATTCCTTAACTTTGTCCTTCTGCTTTTTAACTTTTTGTTGTTTCTATTTATATCTCATTGTACTTTATTTGTGTCATTATTTCTCCTTTATGTTTGAATGATTTTTCACCAGATACACTATTCCAGGGTTAAAAAAAAAAATTTTCTTCAGCACGTTAAATATGTCATGCCACTCTCTCCTGTCCTGTAAGATTTCTACTGAAAAGTCAGCTGGCAGCTGTATTGGAGGCCCATTGTATGTTATTTGTTTCTTTTCTGTTGCTGCTTTTAGGATTTTTTCTTTTTTCTTGACTTTTAGGTGTTTGAACAGCAAAGGTCTTGAGTTTGTCTTCTTTGTGTTTAATCTGCTTGGTGTTCTATAACCTTCTTGTACTTGGATATTGATCTTTTTCTAGGTTTGAGGAGTACTCTGTTATCATCTTTTTAAATATTCTTACTAATTTTATCTCTTTCTCTACCTCATCTTGAAGGCCAATATCTCCTAAATCTTCCCTTTGGGAGATATTTTCTAGATACTGAAGATGTGCTTCCTTGTGTTTTATTTTTTTCCTTTTGTCTCCTCTGACTGTGCATTTTCTAATAGCCTGTCTGTAAGCACACTAATTCTTTCTTCTGCTTGATCCATTCTGCTGTTAAAACACTCTGATGCATGCTTCAGTCTGCCAATTGCACTTTTCAGCTCCAGAATTTGTTTCTTTTTTTTTTTTTTTTTGAGATGGAGTCTCGCCCTGTCACCCAGGCTGGAGTGCAATGGCGTGATCTCAGCTCACTGCAACCTCTGCCTCGCGGGTTCAAGCAATTTTCCTGCCTCAGCCTCCCGAGTAGCTGGGATTACAGGCGCATGCCTCCATGCTCAGCTAATTTTTGTATTTTTAGTAGAGATGGGGTTTCACCATGTTGGCCAGGTTGGTCTCGATCTCCTGACCTTGTGATCCACCCGCCTCGGCCTCCCAAAGTGCTGGGATTACAGGCGTGAGCCACCGCACCTGGTGGTTTCTTTTTAATTATTTCAATTTCTTTGTTAAATTTATCTGATAGAATTCTGAATTCCTTCTCTATGTTATTTTGAATGTTTTGAGTTTCCCTAACACAGATATTTTGAATTCTCTGTCTAAAGGGTGATATATCTCTCTTTCACTAGGATTTTTACCTGCTGCTTTATTTAGTTCCTGTGGTTTGGTGATGTTTTCCCAGGTAGTCTTGATACTTGTAGAGAGTCTTCTGTGTCTGGACATTAAATAGATAGGTGTCCATTGTATTTTTCACAGTCTGGGCATCTTTGTACTTGTTCTTCCTTAAAAGGCATTCCAGATATTCAAAGTACTTTGGTGTTGTGCTCTAAGCTGTATCTGCTTTAGGGGGCACCCCAAGCCGAGTTACACTGTGGTTCTTGCAGATTCATAGAGAAGTACTGCCTTGATTGTCTTAGATGCGGTCTGGAAGAATTCTCTGGATAACCAGGTAGAGACTCTTGTTCTCTTCCCTTACTTTCTCCAAAACAAATGGAATATTTCTCCCTCTGTTCTGAGCCACCTGGAGATTGAGACAGAGTGACACAAGCATTCTTGTGGCCACCACCACTAGGACTGTACTGGATCAGCTCTGAATCCAGCCCAGCAACGGGTCTTGTCCAAGGCCTGCTGTAACTACTCCCTGCCTACTGCCTATGTTTGCTCAAGGCCCTGGGTCTATACAATCAGTAGGTGACAAAGCCAGCCAAGTCTGTATCCTTCCATTAAAGGCAGTGAGTGGCCCCAGACCCTGGGTATGACCAGACATGCCAGAGCCAGTTACCTGAGTCAAAATCCTTAGAAGTCTACCTGTTGTTCTAATGTACTACAGCTCACCTTGCACTGAAACCACAAGATGTATTCTTTTGCACTGTCTTTCTCCTTTCCAAAAGCAGAGAAGCATCATCCTGTGGCCACTGCCATCACAGGCTCACAGGGAGTATTGTCAGACTACTGCTGATATTCTCTTAAGGCCCAGAGGCACTTCTGTTAGTTGTGGTGATTGCTGCCTGGCCTGAGACTCACTTTTCAGGGAAGGCAGGTCCCTTTTGACCCAGGACAGGTCCAGAAATGCCATCTAAGAGCCAAGCCCTGGAATTGAGGACCCCAAGAGCCCTTTTGCTCCTCTACATTCTTGCACCCAAGGTGGTCTCTAAGGCGAAGACAAATTTCTCTTTACTTTCTCTTCACTTCTCTCAAGCAGAAGGAGTCTTGCCTCATAGCCACCACAACTGGAAATGTGCTGATTCTCACCCAAAGCCAGTAAACCTCAGAGGCTCAACCAAGGCCCTTGATATGGTACTTAAATATCATTGTTGGTTTTTCAGGTGTCAAGGGCTCTTCAGATAGCAGGTGATAAATTCTTCCAAGACTGCATGCTCCCCTTAAAGGCAGCATGTTCCCTCCTGGTCTAAGATATGTAGAAATGTCATTCCAGATTTAGGGCCTAGAAAGCAGACCTCAAGACTCTTACCAGTACCCTATTCTGCAGTAGCTGAGCTGGTATGCAAGATGCAATAGAAAGTGGGAATGTTCTTCTCACTCTTGCCTCTCCTCTCTTTAAGCAGAAGAAAGATGTACTTTTTGGAGCTTGGAGCTGTGCAACCTGGAATTAGTGAAGGGGTAATTCCAGAACTCTCTTAGCTACCCAGGCTGACATCCCAGTAGTTTGCATGGCCCCTCAAGTCTCTGGGCCCATTTCAGCACTAGGACATGCCTAGGAATTGCAATCTTTGTGGTCTAGACTGCCTTTCCAGCTTAATTTAGGCCCCAGAGCACTTTAGCCCTCCGTGGCAAGGCTAGCATGAACTGAAGTTCCCACCACTGGGATCAGACATTTTCCTCTTGCTAGGACTGATTTAAATGCTCCCTTCATGGACAGGCATCAGCTGAGTTTGTTCCAGTTATGCTTCCTGTTATAATGGTGCAACACTGAGTTAAATGACATACACTTGACATGGTCTCTTATCTCTTGCGCACGGAAACACTGTCAGCACCACAGTGCCACACTAGGGCATGGAGAAGGGGTAGCATCAGTGATTTAAGACTGTTTTTCCTATCTCTTCTATGCCTCTTTCAGCAATAGAAAGTTAAAACTGAGACTGTGAGTACTCACCTATTTTTGGTTCTTATGGAGGTGGTTTTTCCTTACATGTAGATAGTTGTTAAATTGGTGTCCTTTTTGGGGGGATAATTGGTGGAGCAGTCTATTCCACCATCTTGCTCCATTTATTCCTGGGGATTACAGTGTATTAGAAGATTTGGGCAGGGACAAACATCCAAACTATTATCATTGCCCAAGTATGAGATAGGTCCCAGGATTCTGCAATTTTAGCAAGCTCTTAAGTCATTCTGATATAGGTTTTTTGTTTTTTTGTTTTTTTTTTTTTACAACAGTTTAGGAAACATTGGTTTTGACAAAAAAGTTTCAAAATAATTTGTTATCTCAGTAATTTGTCTTGTATGTCCATTTATAAATGATGTGTTGTTTCAGATTTTTGTCACAAGTGATAAATTTATTACACTTAAACATAATTCTATCATTTTTAATATTTCGTATAAAATTCAACCCATGATCAGCCCCAGAAATCAACCTCCCTCATGATTTTTAAAACAAAGTAAGGCTCAACTCTTTGGAATAACTAATATGGGTCTGCACTCCACAAGAAATAAATTACAATAACCATATATTAGGAAAATAAAACCCAGATGGTCTTTAGTAATTCTCATATTTGAATGTTAACCTCTTTGCTGTGCTGCCAAGCACTGGTTAAAATAACAAAATTAAATCCCCTTCAAATCACACATGAAATTTTTTTTCAAGGTTTAGTAATCTGCTTTTTGCTGACACTACAGGAAATCTAAAAATTCAAGCACACAGTGGCAAGTTCTGCAGCAACAGCTATTATTAGAGTAATAATTTAGTTGAGAAGGCAAGATTTATCTACTCAAGTGCCTACCCAGTTGACATCATGTCAGTTTTATTTGTATATGATTAAAGTTAATTGCTAAGGGGTATGCTTGTTTTATTCCCTCTCTACTTTTTGAAAAACAAGTGAAACTAACATTATGAAATGAAAATGGATATATACAGATAAATAGACAAATGAATCTAGATATATATTTCTATCTATCTATCTATCTATCTATCTATCTATCTATCTATCTATCTGCTATATTATGCCCAATAGATATTTAAAAGAAACTCCCTTTTCTGATTAGACATAAATATCCACATGTAATAAAATTAGTAAGTTTAATTATATGCATCTTCAGTCAAAATACAAAAAGATCTTTTAAAAATATTGATGTTCAAAGAAAAATAGCTAGTTACTTTCAATATAGAAAAACAACAGTGTTGATAATGAATCTTATTTTAGTCTTCAGAATTTGATGCTGAGAAATAACAAATCCTTGTAATTTCCTATTGGATACTTTGTCTGAAATTAGAGTTCATTATAATCAGACACTTTGTGCTTTGGTTGTGACTTCAAGTACTGAACAATCAAGTACATTTCATATTGACCTGATTAGTAAAGACAAATTAGATTATTATCCCTCTACAAATTTATAATCTTACATAAAATCCAAATTTCTTTTATTTCAGTAAAGATATAAATTATAAAAATTGACAAATGAATTGAAGACCATAAAATAGAGAGGAATAAATCCAGCACAGATAAATCTAATAGAAGATAAAACAAACCAAAAATGAAGAAAAAATTAGATGTCTGAAGAATAAAAATTGTAAGTAAGTGACAAACTTAGAAAATATTCATGAAACTGATAATTTACTAAGAAAATATAAATTTCCAAAATGATGTCAGAAGAAAATAGAAAATCTGGAATGATTAAAAAAAAAGGAAATAAAAATTTCAAGGGTAAAAGTATATTTCCTCCTAAAGAACCCTGGTCTAATAAAAAGTTATCTCTGAGTAATTTTATTTCTTCTAATAATATATACTTTTTATGCTATTAATCTGTTTTAGAACATAAAGAAAAAAGCAAATTGTTTCAGTACATCCTATGGAGATAGTATAATCTTGATACAGTTTGTATGAAACATAGAAAAATGCAAACAACAGCTGAATTTTATTTATAAAATAGAGATACATAAATTCAATATAATATACTGGTAGTTGAATTCAGCATTATATTGAAAATAATATATATTGACCATGAAGTGTTAATCCGAAGATTGTAGTAATCATTTAATATTTTAAAAATCATTAATATAATTCATAATATCAATAACTGATAACAAAGATTATCAATATAATAGATACTGAAAATATATAAGGCTAAGAAAGTTCTCTGATATTCCTAGTTTGCTGAGTGTTTTTGTCATGAAACACAGAGCTAATATCATACTTAATGGTAAAAAACTAAAAGCTTTCCACCTAACTTTAGGAAGAGGACAAAGATATTCATTCACACCTCTTTGAGTCAACATCTTGCTAAATGCTTTAGCCAGAAAAATTAGGCAATAAAATGAAATCAGGTAAAATGTATCCAGATTGGAAAGAAAGAAGTAAATCTTTATTTACAGATAACATGATCTTCTATATAGAAAACTATAAGAAATATACAAACACAAACTATTCAAGCTAATATGTCAGCTCAACAAGGTTGAAAGATACAAGATCAAATTTAAAAAGTGAGTTTTACTTCAATACACAAGCCCAATCCAAAAGGAAATTAAGAAATAATTACACTTAAGAAGGCATCAAAAAGAATCAAATGTTTGGAAATAAATTTAACCAAAAATTGCAACATTTGTACACTGAAAATTGTAAAATATTATTGAAATAAATTTAATGAGACTTAAATAAATGGAAATATATCCATGTTCATGGATGGAAACACTATTGACAAAATGACTGATATGATTTGACTGTGTTCCCAACCAAATCTCATCTTGAATCGTAGCTCCCATAATTCCTAGGAGGAATTATGTCACTGGAGGGACCCAGTAGAAGGTAATCAAATCATGGGGGTGGGTTTTTCCCATGCTGTCTTTGTGACAGTGAATAAGCCTCATGAGATCCGATTGTCTCATAAACGGCAATTCCCCTGCACACACTCTCTATCCTGCTGCCGTGTAAGACATGCCTTTGCTCCTCCGCCTTCTGCCATGATTATGAGGCCTCCTCAGCAAAGTGGAGCTGTGAGTCCAATAAACCTCTTTTTCTTTATAAATTACCCAGTCCTGAGTATTTCTTCATAGCAATATGAAAATGGACTAATACAATGGCAATATTTCTGAAATTGATCCACAGATTCAATGTAATCATTATCAAAATTCCAACTCCTTTTCTTTTTGCAGAGATTGGAAAACCAATGATAAAATTAATATGGAAATTCAAGAGACTCAGAATATCCAAAATAATCTTGAAAAAGAAAAACATATTTGGAAGTCTCACACTTTGTATTTCCCAAATTTAGCAGAAAACTACAGTCATCCAAACAGTGTGGTACTGGAATAACAATAGACATATAGACCAATGGAATAGAATTTAGAGTCCAGAAATAAATTCTCATGTTTTAGAGTAAACAGAATTTCAACAAGCATGCCAAAATAAAATAATGAAGAAATAATTGTTTTCTTCAGCAAATAAATGCTGTAATAGCTAGATATTCATATGCAGAAAAAAATAGATTTGGACACTTATGTACACCATAGGCAAAAATAAACACAAAATGGATTGATGAACTACATGTAAAAGCTAAGACTATAAAACTATCATAAGAAAACATAGGTGTGAATCTTTGTGTCCTTGAGCTAGGCAAAGATTTCTTAGCTATCCCACCCCAAGTACAAAAGCAAAATAAAGTAATGAATTGGACTTCATCCAAATTAAAATAAAGTTTGCTTTAGAGAACCCCATCCACAAAAAATAGAAAAAATAAATAAGACCTAGTATTTGCTAGCACAGCATGGTGACTATAGTACAAAATAATTTAATTGTTCATCTTATAATAACTAAAAGTATAATTAGATTGTTTGAAATATAAAGGATACATGCTTGAGGTAATAGATACCCTATTTGCCTTGGTGTAATTAGCTTGTATTGCATTCCTGTATCAAAGTAGCTCATGTAGCCCATAAATACATATAACTACTATTTGCAAAAATTAAAAATTAAAAAAATACTATTGTAAAAATTAAAATGAAACCCACAGAATTGTAGAAAATATTTGCAAATGATATATCTGATAAGGAATTGTTATTCAGAATATATGACTGTTATACCTCAGTCATAAAAAGAAAAATAACTTACTTGGAAAATTGGCAAATAATCTGAACAAATATTTCTCTAAAGCAGACATGCAGGTATCTAACAAGCATGTGAAAAAATATGCAATGCTGATCATTAAGGAAATGCAAATCAAGGTCACAATAACACTTCACTTCACCTAATATGGTGATGATCAAAAAGACAGATAATAAGTGTGGGCCAGGGTATGGAGAAATGGAAACTTTCTTACATAGGTCATGTGGATGTAATATGATGCGGCTGCTGAGGAAAACATTTTGATGGTTCCTCAATAAATGAAATATAGAATCATCATATGACCCAACAATTTTACTCACAGGTATTATATCTCCAAAATTAAAAACACATGTTTATACAAAAACGTGTGCAAGAATGTTCATAAAAGCATTATTCATAGTATCCAAAAATGTGGAAACAACCCAAATGTCCAGCAACACATTAATGGTAAAGAAAAAGTGATATATCCATACAATGGAATATTATTTGGAAATAAAAAAGGAATAAAGGGAAAGGAATGCTATAACACAGATGATCTTTAAAAACGTTATTCTAAATGAAAGAACTCAGACGCAAAAGTCCTCACTATAAAAGTCTATAGATTATCTATTTATACATAATTTCCAGAATATATACATAGTGACAGAAACTAAATTAGTAATTGCCAACGACTGGAGGAAGGTAAGAATAAGGAATAACTGCTAATGGGTATGGTGTTTCTCTTATAAGTGATAAAATATTCTAAAACTGATTGTGGTAAATACTGCACAACTGTAAATATACAAAAAATAATTGAATTGTACTCATTGAATAAATTGGATTGTATGTAAATTATATCTCAATAATGCTGCTAAAATAACATATGAAGATATATTTTTATATCACTTGATTTTTTGAAACATAGGCATCCCTATTGCATTAATATATAGCATTTATTTAAATAATTTTCAATATTATAATCAGTGCTTTGAGGAGCAATGCTATAAAGTTTTGCATATATCTTTTCTTATATACTTAGCATAAATTCCTACAAAGAGAATTGCTGGACTAAATTTTTGACTTTGAGTAGACACTGACAAATTACTTTTCATAGTAATGATCTCCTTCATAACGACCATAAGTAGTATGTGAAATTGTCATATTCTGTGTCCCTTGTCCATTGCCAAGTATTTTCTGCTGCTAGTCCTTTTTATTTTCTTCTCCTTGTCCTCTTCCTCATCTCCCTTATTCTTAATATTTGTAGAAACTTATGTGTACATATATATACATTCTTAATATTTGTATATACATACGTGTATAATATATACCCAGTTGAACTAATATCAGGCTTATTTGTGTATGATTAAAGTTAATTTCTAAGATATGTGTGTTTCATTACTTCTGCATTTTTTGAAAACCACATAGCTCTAATGTTATTGAAAGAAAATGATATATATATTTATATTCGTAATATTGTATATTATGCTCAGTTGATATTCAGAAGAAACTCCCTTTGCTGATTATGCACAATTATATATAAAATTCATAAGTATATGCATTTTACATACATACCTATACATATGTATATATTATAAAGTTGACTCTTAAGCAATGCAGAGGTTAGGGGCACTGACTTCCTGCACATTCAAAAATCTGTGTATAGGAACAGAAAACCAAATACCACATGTTGTCACTCATATGTGGGAGGAGAACATTGGGAACACATGGGCACAGAGAGGGGAACAACACACCAGGGACTGTTGTGGGGTGGGGGTTGAGGGGAGGCGACTTAAAGGATGGGTCCAGTAGGTGCAGCAAACCACCACAGCACACGTATACCTATGCAACAAACCTGCACATTCTGCACATCTAAAATAAATAAATATAACAAGAAAAAAAATCTGTATATAAATTTTGGCTCCCTGAAAAATTACTACTAATAGTATACCGTTGACCAGAAACTTTATCGATAACATAAACAGTTAACACGTATTTTGTATGTTGTATGTATTATATACTATATGCTTACCATAAAGTAAGCTAAAGAAAAGAAAAAGTTATCAAGACAATCATAAGAAGGTGAAAATATATTTACTATTCAGTAAATGTGGGTCACAGTAAAGATCTTCATATAAAGTGGAAGTGGATCACAATAAAGATCTTCGACCTTGTTGTCTTCACACTGAGTAGGCTGAGTAGGAGGAGGAAGAGGAGTTGGTCTTACTGTCTCAGGGGTGGCTAAGGTGGAAGAAATCCATGTATAAATGGGTCCATGCAATTCAAACCCATGTTGTTTGTTGTTCTAGGTTCAACTGTGTATGTATGTATGTGTATATATACATATATCCTCATAGTCTCTTTTTAGTATTAATTACTGAATCAGTGATAACTTTTACAAACTTCTCTACTGCAATGATCTAGGACTTTACACATTTTTTTTTCAAAATGATGTTTCTGTCATTATTATTATCATCATTATTATTTACAGATGAGAAATTAAATGTCCAAATATGTTAAATCACTTAATTTAGGTCACATAGTTTGTATTTGGTATAGCAAGGGTTCAAACTTTGGTATGTTTACTTTCAATTCATGTACCTCTTCTACTATACCACATTTTTTTTTAATTCAACAAGTATGTTTTGAGAACTGACTATGTGCCAGGTACTATGCCAACATGAGAGTATAGTGATGTATAAAATTGACATGGTCACTACTCTCAGGGAACTTATAGTCTAGTGGGGATGCATAACAATAATAAGTCCACAAGTAAAATTTATGTTAAATTTAAATAGTGGTAAGTGGTATAAAGAAGATAAAACAAGGTAAAGATAGAGGGTGACTAGGGAAGAACATTAGATAATGTTGCCAGATGGACCACTTAGAGGAGATTTGAGCTGAAATCTGAATAAGGAGAATGAGTTAACCATATGAAGAACATAAAGAATGTTCAGAGAGGAAGTGATTACAAGTACAAAGGTCTTGATTCAGGACCAAACAACATAATTTAGAAAGAGAGCTATGGTGGATGCAGATATTTGCAATGTGTTCAGGCAACCTGAAATCTTGAAGCCTTTCCTTTGTTTTGAGAAGTCTTGTCTTTTTTTTTTTTTTTTTTTTTTTTTTTTTTTGCAGTTGCAAGATTTAATAGAGTGAAGTCTTGTCTTTTTAACTCTTTATGCCTCTTTCTTCAAGAGGTGAAATATTAAGTATTTAACTTTTTGGCCTTTCTTGCTGTTATGTTTAATTTTAGATGTCAACTTGACTGGATTAAAAAATACCTAGAAATTTGTTAAAGCATTATATTTGGGGTATGTGTCAGAAGAGATTATCCTGTGAGTTGAGTGAACTAGGTGAGAAACGTCTGCCCTCTACGTAGACAGGTACCATCCAATCTTCTGAGTGCCCTGAGACAACAAACACAGAGAAAGGATAAATGTTTTGATCCATCTGCTGAAGCTGTGATATACCCTTTCTCTTTTCCTTGGACAACAACTCCAGGCTCCGCAGCCCTTGGACCCCAGGACTTGTACCAGCATTGCCCTGAGTTCTCAGGCCTGTGATCTTGGACTGGGAGTTATACCATTGGCTTTCCTAGTTCTGAGGCCTTCTGACTTTGACTGAGCCAGCATCTCTAGCTTGCAGCTATCATGGGACTTCTTGGTCTCCACAATTGTGTGAGCCAATTTCCCAATTAAATCCTCTTTCATCATTCTCTCTCTTTCTCTGTCTCTCCCTGTCACCTATCTCTTATTAGTCCTGTTTCTTTGGAAAGCCCTTACTAACACGCTTAGACATAGGGTACGGAAGTATGACTCAGGCTTCAACAATCAGACACAGTCATTTGAAATTTTGATTCAAGAGATAGAGGCCCGGGGAGGGGTCATTGGCCTTTTCTCTTTAGCAGTCATAATGATGCTGCAAAGTTACGTTCCTGGCTCAGAAATGATGTGGTACATATTTAGTGCTCAATAGCTGCAGTGATTCTCTCATGCCACCAGTTCTGAAGATAATTTTGGCTGCTATTTCTGTATGTATAGCCTGGAGCCTGATTCTTTAATCCTTCCAACAATTTTTAAAAATTTATTTTAATAAGCTCATTTTCTCATTAATTATTCAGCATACATCCCTGTTACTTTTAATTTAAAACCCTGAATGATACAGTTAGGGTGGCTGAAGCATAATGAGAAAGGAGACAAGTTATAGGAGATTGTGGTAGGCAAAATAATAGCTCTAGAAAGTTATCTACATCCTAAACCCCCAAAACTGCAAAGATAATTACCTTACATGGCAAAAGTGACATTGAAGATGTGATTAAGTTAAGGATGTCGAGATGTGGAGATGATCAGAGACTATCTAGATAAGCACAATGTAATGACAATGGTCCTTATAAGAGGGAGGAAAGAAGGTTAGAGTCCAATAAGAAGATGTGATGATGGAAGCAGGGGTCAGAGTGATGTGGGGTTATAAACCAAGATGTTTATGGAGCCTCTAGAAGCTGGAGAAGGCAAAGATTTGATCCTTTTTTGTAGTCTCCAGAAGAAATACAGCCTTGCCAACTTACCTTAGACTTCTGACTTCCATAACTGGAAGACAATACATTTGTGTTGTTTTAAGTCACCAAGTTCGTGGTAATTTATACAGCAAAAATTGGAAACTACTTCAGAGACATTGGAGAAGAAAGCACAGGGTTTAAATCTATCACTGAATATTTAGAGTGAACTGTAGTCTAAGTCCTGGGCTGAGGTTATAAAAGGAAATTAAAATTAAATCAGGCTGGATGATTGACTTGGGACTGCTAAAGCAGACACATAAATACACTAAACAACTCGTGTACATTGTCTATACCACTAGTAATGTAAGATAGCAACTGAAAAAAAATCCTATTTAGCTATGTGCTGTTCTAACCCTATTTAGAGTACTATGGCTCTTTCTAAGAACCACAGCACTAGAAGAGTATCGCCAAACTAGTACATTCAGAATAAGCCAAAGAAGGAGATAAAGTATTTAGAAATCATTTCATGAGAAATAGTTGGAGAAAGTGGGAATGGTTAGCAAATACTTATTTTCATATATTTAAAACTGTGTTATGTGAAAGAGTAGTCACTGTTTACATGGAGATAATACTGCCTAATGTATAGAGTTCTTTTCAGAATTAGTATATTTCTATATGCATATCACTATTTCTGCTATTATTAATACACAGTTGGCCTGTGAACAACACACGTTGGAACTGCATAAGTCCATTTATATGCGGATTTGTTTTCAACCAAACCAGGATCTGAAACACAGTATTCATGGGATGTGAAACTTGTATACACAGAGGGCCAGCTTTCCATATATCCAGGTTTTGTCAAGCCAACTGTGTGACTTGAGTGTGTGCAGATTTGCGTATTGTGTGTGTATGGTGGGGGTCCTGGAGATCTGAAACCAATCCCCCAGATATCTGAGGGATGACTGAATTCTGATTTTTCTAGAGGGAAGAACCTGGAGGAATACAGTTATGACAAATTAAATTTCAGCCAAAAATAAAGAACACTATTCTTGAATAACAATGCTAAGTGTCTACATATAGGACACTTAGGTACTGAGATCACTTCCCTTGAAAGAACCTAACCAGAAGGCAGACTTGTCAGGACAATTCAGAGGATATTCCCATTTTCACTGGGCAGTTACAGAAAACTGATCCTTGGAGTCACACACACACACACACACACACACACACACACATACACACACACACACACACATACATATATATATATTTTAAATGAAGATAGTTATGTTTTAATATTTTCTTAAGGGCCATAAGACAAGAGAACAAAAGAAACATGGTTTTTTTTCTTTGTAATAGCCGTTAGCTGTGTTTGCCCCACACATTGTTTCTTTTTCTGGGAACAAACATACAGTGAATTAGTTCTGTCTGATGAGTGTGAACAGAGTTGACTGTGTCCCTTCCTCACTGCATCATTTAATTAATAATGTCATACATTGTAGAGTCTTCTTTTCCCTCTGGTATAGTGGCAAGCAATGTTACAAGATGATGGCTGTTTCTGACAACCTGGGGGGAATGAGTAGCTACAATAGATGAGCTTCCCTGTGAAACAATGATGGATATGTCATCTGAGGAAGAAATAACTTCTTATTTTAAGTCACAGAGATCTGAAATGTATTTGTTACTGTAGCATAACCTAGCCTACCTTGGTCAATATAACCATATTGAATTCTAAATATTTTAGTGACTTGTGCGAGTTTAACATAGAGAAAATATTAGCATACCCTAAGAGAAATTGAAATAATTAACATTTTGATACATTCAATATGAATAACATTTTTCACTCTATTTTTGTTTTAACTGTGTACTTCCCCACCTTCTGCTACCCCTAGTTCCAGTTCCAGATAAAAGACGGAAGTGCAAGGAAACTTGAATTGCTCCTTAAGGCTTCCTGGTGTGGGAGATGACATGCAACTCTTTGTGGGAAGTCAAAGACTAGACAGTATATCATGACATATTATTTCCTTCACTTGAACAGAAAAGTGGAAAGTAACTGAGAGAAAAATAAGACACAATGGTGGGCTGTTAGAGATCTAAAAACTAGCATATTGTGAGATGACTGAAGCAAGCTTGATGGAAAGTTTTGTGAAGAGAAGTGAAACCAACCAAAGGGAAGCTTTATGAAAATTCTAGCACGTCTGGCTAGAGGGGAGTATTTGGACAATTGCGATGCTATGTGCATAACTTTTTTGTAGACAGTTTAGCCTATAAGCAAAGAAAGATGATGAATATAGGCAATTAAATTACATTCAATATACTCTTGTTATCATGGTAATTATCTTTTTATAACACATGAGACAGCATTCATTTTATCTCTATATTTGATTGTAAATATAATTTCTTTTATAACTGCCCTTAAGATGAGGGAGGCAAAGCCACTGAACATATTAAAACAAAGACAGGATTACTAAAATGTAATGGATTTGTTAAAGTCAAATCAAAGAATATGGAAATTTATGCTAATTCTATCAAACATTATCATCATCTGTTACTGTCCCACTGTTTCATTTAGCTCTCACCTTGCCAAATAACAGTTGTCCCAGATTGTATATTTCTTTTGTTTACCTGGAAGGATTTTGATGGTACCTCCATCTACTACCAACTCTGCCGTTAACCTGCTTTATTCATTTGGAAATGTCACATTTTTTAATGCTGGGTCTTGATTTCCTTCACTGCAAAAAAAAAAAAAAAAAAAAAAAACGGGGGGAGATGAAATGATATTCTAAACCTTTTGTTAGAAATCAAATTCAATTTATTTCCCAAAAGATAGAAGTATGGTGTTACTTTTGAGAAGCAAATTTTTGAAGAAAGCAATGATTATTTTTAATATAAAATAAAGGCACATAAAATAAAATTCAAGGAAGTGGTTAAGAGCTGAATATCCTTGGGTATCTGTAGATGAGGCCTGATGATAGTCCCAAAGGGAAATTAGATGCTGTAGGATTATATTTACCTCTCAAGAAACAGCAGGAACCATTAAGCATATACCAAATGTCAGCTAACAACTGTTATTAAGGAGGATTTAGCTGTGAATTTGTATATTTCTTTGTAAAGTAAAGGTTAAGGCTTAATAAGATACTCTGCATTTTGAATTACCTAGCAGAAGATATCAGCACCGATATTATCAAAGTATATAAAAATGCCTCACAATATTACGCTCTCAGGAGTGAAAGATTCACCTCCAAAAGTTTAAATTGTTCTGTGCCAGTGCCTTCTACATTATCTCCATGGAGAGACCTTGCAGAGTGAAAAGCTGAGCAAGTAAATGTCCTGATACATATCCCCTCATTTTACTTAGGACCTAGACGTGCTTTGTAGCCTCTGGCCCACTCTACTTTTCTGCCTCAGTGATAGCCGAGGGTAAAGGTAATCTAGACTATGTGGTGGAGAAGAGAGAATAAAGATAAGTGCCAGTTATGTTCCTAAGATCAATTACAATGCCAGAGATTGTAGTTTGTTCACAAAACTCTTGTTTTTAAGATTTCTGTCAGGAAGACAGAACCCTGGGAACAATGGATGATGTTCTAAAAACTTGCTTGGACAAGTGGATTCGTTTGGCACAAGGGGTAAATTGCAGGGTCATGAAAATGTGCCACTCAGATGTCATGCTTCAGGTAGCATGGTAGACTGATGGTCCCTGCTACTCTCCTTGTGAATCTACCACTACATGCCTGCCAAAGTCTCACTGCCCATGGGCTTCACCCAGCCAATGACTGAGCAGAGTGAAGATAGTAAGGTCTGTTGTGGAGGAACATAGAACTCCTACAATGGAAGACTTTAGTTTGATGTCTCCACATGGTCCTGGCTAAACGACCGTTGGAACTGCCCTGTAATCCTAGCCTCTGTCTACTTAATTCTCTTTCCTTTTCTCTCCCCTTTCAGAGGTGTCAGAACTGAATCACAGTATGAAGGCTCTCCTCACCTCCTGTTCCTTCCATAAATAAATATTTGGCATACCTCATCTTGTCTTGCAGTTTGCTTCTCAGGAGACCCAAGCTAAGGAAGCAGGGAAGATTGGAAGTACAGGAAAATGAACAGCTTCAGAATCAGCTTTCAAACAGTGCAGGTAGAAATAAAAGGACAAAGGCTTTCTCTTTCCATAATTTTGAGTCAATTTTTGTATTTCTTTTTAAAGTAAAGGTTAAGGCTTAATAAGATACTATGCATTTGGAATTATGTAGCAGAAGATATCATGTATGATATACATCATACATTGTGTGTGTATGTATATATGTATATATATACACACACACATACTGATAGATAGATAGATAGATAGATAGATAGATAGATAGATAGATAGATAGCATTGGTACTCCATACACGTCTAGGGCTCCCCACAAAGCTTTTAGGGAGTCTGCAAGATCAAAACTATTTTTTTTCACCGTGTAGACATTTGTACTGATGGTGTAAAACCAATGGTAAGTAACACAGCTTGCACCTTAGCATAAATTAAGAAAGTGGCATCAAACTGCACAAGTGGTCATGTTTTCTTCACTGTCATGCACTTTCAGTTTTAAAAATTCCAGTTTCACTGAAGAATGTACTTGATGAAGCAGAAAGCATGATTAATTTTAATTACTGTTCCACTCTTGAACATGTCTTTTTAGTAAGCCATATGACAAAATGAGAAGTATACATAAAGTACTTCTAAATCACATACTGATGTGAGATGGTTATCTTCAGAAAAAGCATTTGTATAATTATTTGAGTTATGAACTGCATTGGCGGCTATATTTCATGGAACATCATATTTTCCCTAAAAAAAAAAAAAACAGAAAAAAAATGATGCTTCTTCAGACTTGGTTATTTGAAGATATTTATAAATGAAATGAGTATGCCACTTCAATGAAAGCAAGGGATAGTAGCTACTGCCAATGATAATACTTGACAATTCACGGAAAATTAAAACTTTTGCAAATTTTGTATCTACCACCATGAGTTTCAGTTTCCCAATATCTCAGACCTTTTTTCATAAGATGCATGATGATATTTACAAATGTGAAGCAGTATTTTTACATGACCTTGCAGACATTACAAAATCATCCATGTGAAGAAAAATCCATTCACCACGCTAAATGTTCACTGAAACAGTTTCAGATTTCACACTGTAGTAACCTTTAAGAGACTCCTACCAGTTGAGTTTTGTTGTAGTATCACAGGATATTTAAAATTGTTGAAAAGGCAATTAAAATATCCTTTTCTTTTTCAGCTAGTAATTTGTGTAAAGCTGAATTGTCTTTGTATGCATCAAACAAAGCAACATCTCATTACAGACTAAATGCAAAAGCACATATGAGAATACAGTTGTGTTCTATTAAATGAGGTATTAAAGATATGTGCAAAAATTTTAAACAATGCCACTTCTCTCAATATATTTCATTTTGAAAATATAGTTTCTTCTTAAAATGTACTATTTATGTTAACATGTCATTGGTTTATTATTAGTATTACATTAAAGTCAATTAATAATTTATTTTCAGTTTAATTTCTGATGTGGCAAATAGCAACTGATATAACCTCTGTAAACAAAAGCTTTTTAGGCTTTTTAATAATTATCAAAAATGCAAAGGGGTCCTGAGACCAAAATGGTTGAAAATTGCTGATCTAGAAGATTGCTTTTAATCATCATCGTGTTGCAGAATTACAAAGCATGATGATGTCATTATTGTTTAACCATTCTCCCATTTGAGCAAATTCATGGTATTTTTTATCTTTGCCACAATTTCAAACGTCTTTTTTTCTTCCTCTTGGTGTCTCATGAGTAGGTCACCCTGTCTCATGACTTTACACATTTTTATGCCCCATCTAGGAACATACTTATACAGATTTTTGATTTGAAGCCCTGCTTAACCTTTAGCACTCAGGTTAAGTGCCACCTGAATAGTCGTAATCCACACAAACTAAACCCTTTTCTTCTTTCCCTGTCTCATTGTTTTCACACACTGATACATTCCTGCTTGCTGGAATAAGTTCCCAAGTCCTTATCTCATGCTTGTTTTATGGGAACCCAGATTATGATACTATCTGGCCCATAGTAGGTACTCACTGAGAGATTATTACTAGCATTTTGACTTTCCAGCATGATGATTAAGGGTAAGTTACATAGAGTTATTTTTAACTGGTCTGCCATACCACCAATAAATCACCTAAGTTGTGAACAGAACTTAATTGTTTAAATGAGGCACTCTAAAGTACCTCTCTGTGTTATAATATCTATGTGGTTAGTCTTGTGATATCCCTACTCCTACATTTCAGAAGGCCTCTGACCTCTGACCCATGATAAGACTGACCAGTTCTATCATTGGTATATTATTACTTCTTCCTGGAAAGGCTTCTTAGACCACCTGAGGACAGAGAATTGGACTTTTATGTGTTACAAAGATTCATTATATGTTTTTTTGTCTGTTTCTTCATTAATGTAGGTTTAACACTGATTGATCTAACTAGTTTTATTTTACAATAGTAACCTTTTAGCAAGATTATAGGGTAGAGAAAGTGTAGACCTTGCCTACCTTGAACTGGGGGAGGCTAAGACGTATACCAGAAGAACATAATGATTACTAACTGCACACATTGTCATAGGACAGTTGGTAGCACCGTGTCTTCAAGTCAAAAGATTCAAGAGGATAAAATATAAAAATATCTCCTCTTCTGATGGCAGAAACACATCAAAGAAACATGAGAGTTTTTCTACAGAAAATAACGTAATGAAAGATAGCTGGTTCATTGAAGACTATATAGCAACACGTCAGAGTTTCTCATTTATTTTTAGTGGCACAAGTAATGCTCAGTCTGAATAATCTCCTTTTCTCTTTTTATAAAAACAGCTCTATTAAGATATACTTTATATGCCATACAATTCACCTGCTTAAAGTATATGATTCAGTAATCTTTGTTACGTTGTATTATTACATTTTTTAATTTTAGTAAAAATGTATACAACATCTGCCAATTTAACCATTTTAAAATGTACAATTCAGTGACATTGTTCATACAATGTTGTGAAACCACCACCAAGATATCTTTATCCTTTTTTTAAAAAGTGCATGCATGTAGCTACTGTTTTCACTCAACATGTTACATATTTTACTCTACTCTCTTCTTGCTTGCATGATTGCCTTGGAGAAGTCAGATGCTATTCTAATCTTTGTTCCTCAATATGTACAGTATTATTTTATAAAAATTAATTATTTTTTTACATTTTTATTGGTACATGGTAGGTGTATTATTTATAGGGTACCTTAGATGTTGTGATACAGGCATGCAATTTGAAAGGAGGACAGCATGGAGAATGGGGTATTAATTCCCTGAAGCATTTATTCTTTGAGTTAAAAACAATCAATTACATTCTTTAAGCTATTTTAAAATATACAGTTAAGTTATTATTGACTATAGTCACCCTGTTCTGCTGTCAAGTAGTAGGTCTTATTCATTCTACTTTTTTTGTACACATTAACTGTCCCCACTGATATGGTTTGGATTTGTGTCCCCGCCGAAATCTAATGTCGTGTTGGAGGAGGGGCCTGGCGGGGGTGATGGAATCATGGAGGCGGGTTTCCTCCTTGCTGTTCTCAGGAGAGTGAGTGAGTTCTCACAAGATCTGATGGTTTAAAAGTGTGTGGCACTTCCCCCTTCTCTCTCTCTCTCTCTATCCTGCTGCCATGAAAGATGTGACTTGCTTTCCCTTCACTTTCCGCCATGATTGTAAATTTCCTGAGGCCTCCCTAGCCATGGGAAACTGTGAGTCAATTACTCTTTCCTTTATAGATTACTCAGTCTCCGGTAGTTCTTTACAGCAGTGTGAGAAGGGACTAATACAACCACTTTGCCAAAACACCCCACTACCCTTATCAGCCTCTGGTAACCATCCTTCTATTCTCTATGTCCATGAGTTAAATTGTTTTTATTTTTAGATCTCACAAATAATTGAGAACATGCAATGTTTCCCTTTCTATGCCCGACTTATTTAACATGATGATCTAAAATTCCATTAGTGTTGATGCAAATGACTAGATATCATTTTTTATACCTGCGTAGTATGCCATTGTGTATGTACCACATTTTCTTGATCCACTCATCTGTTGATGAAGAGTTAGATTGCTTCCAAATCTTAGCTATTGTAATCAGTGCTACAACAAACATCAACAAACATAGGAGTGCAGATACATCTTTGATATACTGATTTATTTTCTTTTCGGTATAAACCCAGCAGTGGGATTACTGGATTACATGGTAGCTCATTTCTTGTTTTTTTTTTTTTTTTTCTTTTTTTGACCCTCCAAACAGTTCTCCATGGTGGTTGTACAAATATACATTCCCACCAAGAGTGTACAAGGGTTCCCTTTTCTTTACATTTTCTCGAGATTTGTTTTTGCCTGTCTTTTGGATATAAGCCATTTAAACTAGGGGGAGATATCTCATTGTAGTTCTGATTTGCATTTATCTGATGATCAATGATGTTGAGCACCTTTTCATATGCCTGTTTACCATATGCATGTCTTCTTTTGAGAAATGTCTATTCAAATATTTTGCCTATTTTTGGATTGGATTATTAGATTCATTTTTACAGAGGTGTTTGAGCCCCTTATATGTTCTGGTTATTAATCCCTTGTCAGATGGGTAGTTGCAAATATTTTCTCCCATTCTGTTGGTTCACTCTTCACTTTGTTGATTGTATTCTTTGCTGTGCAGAAGCTTTTTTTAACTTGACGTGATTTCATTTGTTTATGTTTGCTTTGGTTGCCTGTGCTTGTAAGGTATTGCTCAAGAAGTCTTTGCCCAGACCCATGTCCTGGAGGTTTTCCCCAATGTTTTCTTGCAGTCATTTCATAGTTTCAGGTATTAGATTTAAGTCTTTAATCCACTTTGATTTGATTCTTATATTTGGTGAGAGTTAGGGGTCTAGATTCCTTTGTTTGCATATGGATATCCAGCATTTTCAGCACCATTTATTGAAGACTCTCTCCTTTCCCCAGTCTATTTTCTTGAAGTCATTGTCACAGATGAGTTCACTGTAGGTGTCTGGATTTGTTTCTGGGTTCTCTATTCTGTTCCACTGGTCTATGTGTCTGTTTTTATGCCAGTACCTTGCTATTGTTAATATAGCTCTGAAGCATAATTTGAAGTATGGGAATGTGGTTCTTCCGTTTTTGTTCTTTTGCTTAGAATAGCTTTAGCTATTATGGGTCTTTTGTGGTTTCATATAAATTTTAGGATTTTTTTTTCTATGTCCCTGAAGAATGTCATTGATAGTTTTATAGGAATTGTATTGAATAAGTAGATTGCTTTGGGTAGTATGGACATTTTCACAATATTGATTGCTTCAATCTATGAACATGAAATATTTTTCAATTTTTTGGTATTCTCTTAAATTTCCTTCATGACTTTTTAATTTTTATTATACAGATCTTTCATTTCTTTGTGTGGGAAAGAGAGTTTCTGGGATGCCAGATGATATGGTCTCCCCTGTGTGAGACACCCCTGGGGAGCCATGGGCGGCCTCTGTGGAGAAAAGTCTCCTTATTGCCTTCATATCTTTATGTACCAAGAGCATAACAGCTCAGTGGCATGCCACAGGTTGCTTGGGGAGATAACACTCCCTTGAAGCAGTGGAGTGTAATCAAACATCTTGGCTTCTCCTGAAAGCCACTCCCACCCATTTCAGTCCCAATAAGTTAAAGATCTTAAGTAGTTTAGCCACACGCCTTTGCTCAAGGAAATTCAGAAACCACCACTGCTATACATCTTATTGAGTGACTCACAGGTTCTCCTGATTAATCCTTTTAATCCTTTTCCTCATTCCTTCCTACCCCTCCCATTTGCCCTAAGAACAAAGAGCTTGTAAACCAATAAATTAGGCGGAGCTGAAGAGCTCTGGGCTGTGAGCAAGCCTCCGAGGCTCCTGTCCCCTGGCCCGCCTTTGAAAATCTTATTCTGTCTCTTTCTAATTCCTTTGTCTCCACTGGATTCGGGGTACCAGCTGGGTGGTGTAGGGCTGGTTTCCCCAACACTTTGGTTAATTTATAGGTATTTAATTTCATGTGTGGCTATTGTAAATGGGATTACATTGTATTTCGTCAGATAGTTTACTTTTGGCATGTAGAAATGCTACTGATTTTTGTATGTGGGTTTCGTATCCTGCAACTTGACTGAATTTATTAGTTCTAATATTTTTGTGTGTCTGTGGAGTTGAAACAGGTTGGCTCTGTGTTTCCACCCAAATCCACCTTGAATTGTAGTTCCCATATTTCCACATGTTGTGGGAGGGACCCAGTGGGAGACCCATAATTGAATCATGGGGGCAGTTTCCCTCATACTGTTCTAGTGGTAGTGAATAAGTTTCATGAGATCTGATGGTTTTATCAAGGGTTTCCTCTTTAGCTTGGCTCTGATTGTCTTTTGTCTGCCACCATGTAAGACATGCCTTTTGCTTCCCACCATGATTGTGGGGCCTCCCCAGCCACGTGGAACTGTGAGTCCATTAAACCTCTTTCTCTTTATAAATTACCCAGTCTTAGGTATGTCTTTATCAGCAGTGTAAACATGGACTAATACAGGAGTCTTTAGGTTTTCTCAAATATAAGATAATATCATTCACAAACAACAATAATTTGATGTCTTTTCTTCAAATATGTATATCCTTTATGTCTCTCTTGTCTGACTGCTCTAGCTAGGACTTGCAATACTTTGTTGAATAACAGTGGTAACAGTGAACATTCTTGTCAGGTTCTAGATCTTAGAAAAAAGGCTTTTAGTTTTTCCCCATTCAATATTACACTAGCCATGGTCCTGTCATATGTGGCTTTTATTATATTAAGGTATGGTCATTCTATACACAGATTTTTGCATATTTTTGTCATGAAGGGATGCTAAATTATATAAAATGCTTTGTCAGCATCAATTGAAATGATTATGTGGCTTTTATCCTTCATTCTGTTGATATAATGTGTCACATTGATTGATTTGCATATGTTGAACCATCCTTGCATTCCAGAAATAAATCACACTTGGTCGTGACGAATGATCTTTCTAATGTATTGTTGAATTTAATTTGCTAGAATTTTGTTGAGGTTTTTTGCATCAATATTTATCAGAGATATTAGTCTGTAGTTTTCATTTTTTTTATGTGTCCTTGCCTGGTTTTGGTATTAGAGTAATACTAATACTGGTATCATGGAATGAGGTTGGACATATTCCCTTCTCCTCTATTTTTCAGAGTAGTTTGAGTAGGATTGGTATTACCTCTTCTCTAAATGTTTGATAAAATTTGGCAGTGAAGCCATAGGGTCCTGGGCTTTTCTTTACTGGGAGACTTTTATTATGGCTTCAATCTCATTATTTATTGGTCTGTTCAGGTTTCAGATTTAATCTTGGTAGATTGTATGTATCTAGGAATTTGTCTATTTCTTCTGGATTTTTCAATTTATTGTCATATAGTGCTCCAGGGTTTGGTGCATATATATTTAAAATTTTTATATGCTCTGGCTGAATTTACCTTTTTATCATTATATATTGACCTTCTTTGTCTCTTATAGTTTTTGTCTTGAAATCTATTTTGTCTAATATAAGCATAGTGACTCCTCTTTTTTTATTTTCATTGGCATGAGATATCATTTTTTATTCCTTTATTTTCAGCCACATGTGTGTCTTTATAGATGAAGTGTGTTTATTGTAGGCAACAGATCAATGGGTCTTGCTTTTTATCCATTCAGTAAGTCTATATGTTTTGATTGAACAGTTTAGTCCATTTATATTCAATGTTGTTTTTTATATGTAAGGACTTACTACTGCCATTTTGTTATTTGTTTTCTTTTTGTTTGTGGTCTTCTTTCTTTTCTTCCTGTCTTCCTCTTGTGAAGGTAATTCTTTCTGGTGATATAATTTAGTGCCTTTTTATTTTTGTGCATCTGTTGTGTTTTTTGGTTTGAAGTTACAATGAGTCTGCAAATACCATCTTAAAATTCATAATTTCAACCGAATAACAACTTAACACTATAGGAATAAACAAACAAACATATAAAAAATAAAGCTAATAATCTAAGCCTTAACTTTAACCCCTTGCTTTTTAACTTTTTGTTGTTTCTAATTATATCTTATGGTAATTAATATGTCTTGAAAAGTTGTTCTACTTATTATTTTCGATTGCTTTATTGTTTACTCTTTCAACTTAGCATAGAGGTAGTTTATACACTACAGTTACAGCGCTATAATATTTTCTGTTTTTTGTATACTTACTACTGCCAGTAACTTTTATATTTTCAAGTGATTATTTATTGCTTATTAATGTATTTTTCTTTCTGATTGAACTGCTCTCTTTAATTGTAGGATGGGTCTGGTATTAATCAAATCAGTCAGCTTCTGTTTGCCTGGTAAAGTCTTTAATTTTCCTTCATGTTTGAATGATATTTGCACCAAATATACTATTCTAGGGTAATTTTTTTCAGCACTTTAAAATGTCGTACCACTTTATCTTGGTCTATAAGTCTTCCACTGAAAAATATTCTGCCAGGTGTATTGGAGCTCCATGGTATGTTATTTGTTTCTTTTCTCTAGCTGCTTTTAGAATTCTTTCTTTATCCTTGACCTTTGGGAGTTTGATTATTAAATGCCTTGAAGTAGTCTTTGGGTTAAATCTGCTTGGTGTTCTGTAGCCTTCTTATACTTGGATACTGATATGTTTCTCTAGGTTTGGGAATTTCTCTGTTATTATCTCTTGGAATAAACTATCTACCCCTATCTCTTTCTCTGCCTCCTCTTTATGGCCAATAATTCTTAGATATTCCCTTTTGAGGATATTTTCTAAATCCTATAGGCTTACTTCATTGTTTGTTTGTTTGTTTGTTTCCTCTGACTGTGTATTTTCAAATAGTAATCTTTAAGCTCACTAATTCTTCTGTTTGATTAATTCTACTGTTTAAGGACTCTGATGCCCTCGTTTGTATGCCCATTTCATTTGTCAGCTGGAGAATTTCTTCTTGCTACTTATTTCAATCTCTTTAATTATTATTAAAGTAATTATTTCAATCTCTTTGTTAAATTTATCTGAATTTATTCTTTGTGTTATTTTGAATTTGTGTTTTCTCAACATACCTATTTTGAATTCTCTCTCTGAAAGGTGACATATCTCTGTTTCTCTGGGATTGGTCCCTGGTGTGTTATTTAGTTAATTTGTACAGGTCATGTTTTCCTGGATGGTGTTGATACTAGCAGATATTCTTCAGTGTCTGGGCACTGGAGATCTAGGTAATTATTGTAGTCTTCACTCTCTGTGTATAACTGTAGCCTTCCTTTTTGGGAAGGTTCTTCAATATTTGGAAGAACTTGGGTGTTATGATATAAGCTGTATCTGCTTTAGGGGGAACCCCACGGCCAGTAACACTGTGATTCTTGCAGACTCTTAGAAGTACTGCCTTGATGATTTTGGACTATATCTGGGAGAATTTTCTGGATTACCAGGCAGAGACTCTTGTTCTCTTCCCTTACCTTTTTCTAAACATATGGAGCTGCTCTCTTTTTTTCTGAGTCATCAAAAGCTGGGGGTGGAGTCACACAAGTACCCATGTGACCACCACTGCTATGACTGCACTGGATCATACCTGAAGCCAGCATAGCGTTGAGTCTCACCCCAGGTCTGCTGTACCCACTCCCTGTATACTATCTATGCTCACTCAAGGCCCTTGGGCTTTATAATCAGCAGTTTGCAAAGTTTGCCAGGCCTGTGTTTTTTTCCTTTAGGTTGACAAGATCTCCCAACTTTTGGGTGAGTCCAGAAGTGCTATCTGGGGGTCAGGGATTAGATTCAAAAACCTCAGAAGTTTACTTGGTGTTCTATTATATTGCAGCTGAGCCAGGTGCAGTTTTTCTTACTCTTCCCTCCCCTTTCTGAAGTCAGTGAAGCCTCACCCTGCAGCCACAGCCACCTAGGCCACAAGGAGTACTGCCAGAATACTGCAGATGTTCCCTCAAGGTCCAAGGGCTCTTCAGTTAGCTTGTCATGAGTGCTGCCTGGCCTGGGACTCACCCTTCAAGGCAGCAGGTTCCACTCTGGCCCAGGGCAGATCCAGAAATTCTGTGTAGACCCCAAGGATCTAGAACCAGAAATACCATTTGATTCAGCAATCCCATTACTGGGTATATACCCAAAGGATTATAATGCATTCTACCATAAAGACACATGCACATGTGTGTTTACTGCAGCACTATTTACAATAGCAAATACTTGGAACCAACCCAAATGCCCATCAATGATAGACTGGATAAAGAAAATGTGCCACATATACACAGAGGAATAGTATGCAGCCATAAAAAAGAATGAGTTCATATCCTTCGCAGGGTCGTGGATGAAGCTGGAAACCATCATCCTCAGCAAACTAACAGAGGAACAGAAAACAAAACACCACATGTTCTCGCTCATAAGTGGGAGTTGAACAATGAGAACAAATGGACACAGGGAGGGAAACATCACACACTGGGGCCTGTTGGGGGATGGGGGACAAGGGGAGGGATAGCATTAGGAGAAATACTTAATGTAAATGACAGAGTGATGGGGGCAGCAAACCACCATGTATACTTATTTAACAAATCTGCACATTCTGCACATGTATGCCAGAACTTAAAGTATAATAGAAAATAAAAATAAACATAAATGCTGTATAAGAGTCAAGTCCTAAAATTGGGGACCCCAAGAGCCCACTTGGTGCTCCTCCCTCCTGTGGTCATGCTGGTACTTAATTTTTGGCTCTAATGAAGGTATTTTTTTTTCAGTGTAGAGTGTTGATAACTTGTTGTCTTTGTGGAATGGATTATCAGTGGATCTTTCTATTTCATCATCTTTCTCTCCCCTCTCTCTGTGGTATTATTTTCTCCTGGCTTTTTTTCAAACTTTTTCTTCATTTGTAATTTTTTATAGCTTTAAAACAATATGCCTAGGTGTAGGGTTTCTTTGGCATTTTTTTCTTCTTGATGGTCTCTGAGCTTTTTGGATCTCCAGTTTGGTGTCTGACATTAATTTGTGGAAAATGCTCAGTTATTATTTTTTCAAATATTTCATTATTTTCATTCTCCTTTCTTCTCCTTCTGGTATTCTTGTTTTGCATATTTATACCTTTTGTAATTGTTTTTTTCAGTAATTATTCTCTTTGGTTTTTATCAATTTTGTAGGGTTTTTTTTTAGATATCTTCAAGCTTAGAGATTATTTCTAAGATGTGTCTAGTCTACTAATAAGCCCACCAAAGCCATTCGTGATTTATGTTATAGTGCTTTTGAGCTCTAGCATTTTTTTTTATTCTTTCTTAGACTTTCTATCTCTCTGATTAAACTGCCTGTCTGTTTTTTCATGTGGTCTACTTTATTTGAGCCCTTAGCATAGTAACCATAGTTGTTTTAAATTTGTAGTCTGATAATTTCAACATCTCTGCTATATCTGAGCCTGGTTCTGATGCCTGTTCTGTCTCTTTACATTGTGTTTTGTGTTTTTAGTTAGTCTTGTACATTTTTACTGATAGCCAGTCATGATATACTAGATTAAAGAAACTGCCATACATAAGCCTTTAGTAACATGAGGAAGGAAAAGTATTCTATAGATTTATTATTAGGTCCCAGTCTTTTAGGGAGACGTACCTCTGGAATATGATCTTCACATGTGCTTCTCAGACTCACTCACCATCCCTTAGGTGGGACAGAATAGCTAGAGTAAACTGGAGTTTGGGATTTCCCTCTCTCATTTGAAAGACTAGAGGAAGCTGGAGTTGGCCAGTCCTCTTTCCTCAGGTCAGTTGGCTCTGATAAAACCACATCCAGTTAGGCTCTAGTAAGTTTATGCTGAGGGAAGACTATTAAGAAGAACAGAATATTCTAAGCATATTTCATATGTATATTTTTTCTCCTCCCCTTGTCAAAATCATGAGAGAATATTTTTCATAAGAACCTGGTCAAATCCCTAAATGTAAAACTCACAAAAATGGGGAGGAGGGTCATCCTCCATTACTGGCTCCTTCCTAGAGATTTAAGTCTCAGATTGTTCCACAGTGAGCCTCCAGCAGTTTGTCAATTACACATCAGGTTTTACTACCTTGGCACTGGTTCACAAAGGAATTTCTAGTACTGAGTTTCTGCTTTGGAATTGTGTCCGGAATTGGTGGGTTCTTGGTCTCACTGACTTCAAGAATGAAGCCGTGGACCCTCGCGGTGAGTGTTACAGCTCTTAAGGTGGCGCGTCTGGAGTCTGTCCCTTCTGATGTTCAGATATGTTCGGAGTTTCTTCCTTCTGGTGGGTTTGTGGTCTTGCTGGCTCAGGAGTGAAGCTGCAGACCTTCGCGGTGAGTGTTACAGCTCTTAAGGCAACGCGTCTGGAGTTGTTTGTTCCTCCCGGTGGGCTCGTGGTCTCTCTGGGCTCAGGAGTGAAGCTGCAGATCTTCGCGGTGAGTGTTACAGCTCATAAAAAGCAGCGTGGACCCAAAGAGTGAGCAGTAGCAAGATTTATTGCAAAGAACAAAAGAACAAAGCTTCCACACTGTGGAAGGGGACCCGAGCGGGTTGTCACTGCTGGCTCGGGCAGACTGCTTTTATTCTCTTATCTGGCCCCACCCACATCCTGCTGATTGGTAGAGCCGAGTGGCCTGTTTTGACAGGGCGCTGATTGGTGCATTTACAATCCCTGAGCTAGATACAAAGGTTCTCCATGTCCCCATCAGATTAGTTAGATACAGAGTTTGGACACACAGGTTCTCCGAGGCCCCACCAGAGCAGCTAGATAAAGAGTGTCGATTGGTGCATTCACAAACCTTGAGCTAAACACAGGGTGCTGATTGGTGTGTTTACAAACCTTGAGCTAGATACAGAGTGCCGATTGGTGTATTTACAAACCTTGAGCTAGATACAGAGTGCCGATTGGTGTATTTACAATCCCTGAGCTAGACATAAAGGTTCTCCAAGGCCCCACCAGAGCAGCTAGATACAGTGTGTCGACTGGTGCACTCACAAACCCTGAGCTAGACACAGGGTGCTGATTGGTGTATTTACAATCCCTGAGCTAGACATAAAGGTTCTCCAAGGCCCCACCAGAGCAGCAAGATACAGAGTGTCGATTGGTGCACTCACAAACCCTGAGCTAGACACAGGGTGCTGATTGGTGTGTTTACAATCCCTGAGCTAGATATAAAGACTCTCCACCTCCCCACCAGACTCAGGAGCCCAGCTGGCTTCACCTAGTGGATCCCGCACCGGGGCTGCAGGTGGAGCTGCCTGCCAGTCCCGCGCTGTGCGCTCGCACTCCTCAGCCCTTGGGTGGTCGATGGGACTGGGCGCCCTGGAGCAGGGGGCGGCATTCGTCGGGGAGGCTCGGGCTGCACAGGAACCCACGGAGGCGGGGGAAGGCTCAGGCATGGCGGGCTGCAGGTCCCGAGCCCTGCCCCGTGGGAAGGCAGCTAAGGCCCGGTGAGAAATCGAGCACAGCGCCGGTGGGCTGGCACTGCTGGGGGACCCAGCCGCTGGCCCGGGTGCTAAGTCCCTCATTGCCCGGGGCCAGCAGGGCTGGCCGACTGCTCTGAGTGTGGGCCCGCCAAGCCCACGCCCACCTGGAACTCCAGCTGGCCCACAGGGGCCACACGCAGCCCTGGTTCCCACTGGCGCCTCTCCCTCCACACCTCCCTTCAAGCTGAGGGAGTGGGCTCCAGCCTTGGCCAGCCCAGAAAGGGGCTCCCACAGTGCAGTGGTGGGCTGAAACGCTCCTCAAATGCCGCCAAAGTGGGAGCCCAGGCAGAGGAGGTGCCGAGAACGAGCCAGGGCTCTGAGGCCTGCCAGCACGCTGTCACCTCTCAGAATGGTGTAACTTTATTTATTCTCCTGTTACACTTTCCAATTTGGGGGTAACAGTGTGCCGTGTGGCCTCACTTTTATTACTGGTCTAAGAAGAGTTGTTGCTTTTTCAGTTTATTTACCTTTTACTCATTAGACTGAAGTGCAAAACTACAAGATTCTGTATACTGGAAGTCTCTTCTGCTTTTTTATTTTAAAAAGTAGATTTTTTTGTACTCATGCATAAATGCTATCAGGTTGTATGTTATTTTTTATTTAAAACTTAGTTGGCTTCCACACAAAGCAAGAAAATATTTTACAAAATGCTTTCAGTAAATGTCTTAAAATTTATCTCATAAAACTTAAAATAACATCTGAAACAGTCTCAAATATAAAAATATCAATCAAAAAATCTTAATCTGAAGCTCCTTTCTACATCCTGCCACTAACTAACTTGGCTTTCCTAGAGGACACCTTTTCTGTTCTGGGCTCTATTTTCCTTCTCTGTAAAATGAGATGAAATAAGTTGGTTTCTAAGATTTTCTAAGCCCTTATATCTCTAAAACAACCATCTGAACAAACATCTGTTATATGAAGGAAAATGCCAGATGCTGTAAAATACAAACAAACTTAAGATTCTGCTCTTGAGAAGCAATTTAATTAGAAGCTAAATGCAAGTCAAATGCTAATACATGAAACAAAAATCCAGGAGTATTGAGAAGTATAAGCAGAAGGTATTACACAGTGTTACATCATGAGTAAGCAATGGAAGCCTAGAGTTTTGAGGACTCGTGGTTGTCCAGGAATACTTAAATGACTTGATATGAGGGGAATGAAAATGACAATATCTTGTTAGAGCCAGTGATATTTGTCAATGAAGAGTTAGGGATGGATTAGAGATGAACTTAGAAGGAATCAGATCATAAATAATACAGAAGTCAAAATTGATATGCTTAAATCAGACTTTGGACGCAGGGAAATTCATACTAAGGGGAATAAAGTACCATATGACATTGATATACAAATTTGTATTCAATAATTAACGCCAAGAAAGTAATATTTGAACTAAGATTCAAAGGAAGAAATAATTTGAAGAGGTAAAGAATGCCATTTCAACCAAAGGAAATGCAGTGTGTAAAGGCACAGAATAGCAAAAATGTACTACATATTTGGGAAATGAAGAGAAGTCTGTTATAGTTGGACAAAGGAGAGTATCACACAGTATAGTGAAAGAAAAAACTGTAAAGATAGGTGGGGCTCAACGTAAGAGAGCTCAGAATACCACACCAAGGTATTTTGTTTTCTATCATTATTATTATTACTATTATTATTATTATTATTATTAAGACGGGATAGACAGGGTCTCTGTCACCCAGGCTAGAGTGCAATAGCATGATCTCAGCTCACTGCAGCCTCTGCCTCCCAAGTTGAAGCAATTCTTGTGCCTTAGTCTCCAGAGTAGCTGGGACTACAGGTACAGGCCACCACACTTGGCTAATTTTTGTATTTTTACTAGAGATGGGGTTTCGACATGCTGTTCAGGCTGGTGTCGAACTCCTGACCTAAAGTGATCCACCTGCCTCAGCTTCCCAAAGTGTGGGATTATAGGTGTTAGCCACCACACCCAGCCTTGGTTGTTTTTTTGTGTGTGAAGGAAGCTTTCAAGATTCTTAAAGAAGAGAGTGACATGATCTGAATGCATTTTGGTAAACTCAGAATCCTAACAACTCTATCGGCAACGTAAGAACAACAATAAAAATGGTGGATATTACATTGTAATAAGGCAAATAAGAAATGATGAGGAATTGGATAGAGAAAGTAAAATAAGAAAGAAGGAATAGATATGCAAGTGAAAACTAAAATAGCAGCAACAGGATTTAACAATGCAGGAAAGAAGTTGATGCCAGAGTAATACAGCAGTAGTGATAATAAAAGAACGCTATTAATACTAATAGATACAATTTTTTTATGTGTATGTGTTTTTTTTTTTTAAATTATACTTTAAGTTCTAGGGTACATGTGGCACAACGTGCAGGTTTGTTACATACGTATACATGTGCCATGTTGGTGTGCTGCACCCATTAACTTGTCATTTACATTAGGTATATCTCCTAATGCTATCTCTCCCCCTCCCCCCACCCCATGATAGGCCCCGGTGTGTGATGTTCCCCACCCTGTGTCCAAGTGTTCTCATTCAATTCCCACCTATGAGTGAGAACATGCGGTGTTTGGTTTTCTGTCCTTGCGATAGTTTGCTGAGAATGATGGTTTCCAGCTTCATCCATGTCCCTACAAAGGACATGAACTCATCCTTTTTTATGGCTGCACAGTATTCCATGGTGTATATGTGCCACATTTTCTTAATCCAGTCTATCATTGATGGACATTTGGGTTGGTTCCAAGTCTTTGCTATTGTGCATAGTGCCGCAATAAACATACGTGTACATGTAGACACAATTTTTTATGATCACTATTTGCCAGAAACTGTGTCAGGATCTTTACATATATTATTTCATTTAATCCTTACAATTACTCCTTGACAGAAATCATCCAATTTTACTAATGAGGAATCTGAGACTCGGAGAGGTTAAGAAATTTGCGTATGGTCACACAGCTTGTATAAAAAATAATTCTCAAGCATTTTGATATTTCTTACTTATTCTTTAGTCTTTCAGCAAAGGTTCATTGACCTCCTCACATCAATGTAAGTATTCTTTCTCCCACAAACTTTTCACATCATACGTAAATATTGTGTCTTTGTCAACTCTCTCAAATTTGGGGGTAAGGAATCATATCTGTGTATCACAATACCCTCAATTTCTAATATGTTTCTCAGTCAATAGGGGACACTCAACAATAATTCTTCATTTTTTTTGGAAAAATATATATAACATAAAATTTACTAACTTAACCATTTTGGATGTACAGTTAAGTAATATTATCTACATTCACATTGTGGTGCAAGCAATCCTCACAACTCTTTTTAGATTGCAAAAATAAAACTCTATATCCATTGGTCAACAACACTCAGTTGATTCTTTCACCAGCACCTGATGATTACTGTTCCATACAAATCTGTCTACTTTTGGTACTGCATATAATTAGAATTATACAGTATTTGTCTTTTTGTTACTGGCTTATTTATCTTAGCATAAAATCCTTGCCCTAGTCCACTTTGTTTTGCTATAACAGAATATCTGAGGCTAGATAATTTATAAAGAAAATAGGTTTATTCAACTCATAATAATGGTGACTGGAAAGTCCAAAAGAATAGTTCTGGCATCTGCTCAGCTTCTGATGAGGGCCCTGTGCTGCATGACAACATGGCAAAGAAGGAGGAAGAAAAAGCATGTACATGAAAAGAGACGAAACACAAAAGGTAACCTCCCTTTATAATAACCTGCTCTCATGGAAACAAATCCGTTCTAGTAATGTCTAATCCAGTCTCTTAAGAATGACATTAATTTATGTTTAAAAACCTAATCACCTCTTAAAGGTACCACATTGTAACATTGCCACACTAGAAATTCAGGTTCCAACATGAGTTTTGATGATGACATCCAAACCATAGCCATCCTTGAGGCTTATCCATGTTGTAGGTTACATCAGAATTTCCCTCTATTAAAAAGATAAATAACATCTATTATATGTATATATCACGTTTTATTAATTGATCCATGATGAACACTTGAGTTGCTTCCACGTTTTGCCTATGGTGAATAATGCTGCTATAAACATGGGTGTACAAATAGGTTTTCAAGACCCTGCTTTCAATAATTTTGGGTAGATACCAAAAAGTAGAATTGCTGAATCATATGATAATATGATTTTGTATTTTTTGAGGAACCACTATACTGTTTTCCATAGCAGCTGTACCATTTTTATATAACCACCAACAGTGCACAAGGGATCTTATTTTTCTACATTCTTACCAACAATTGTTATTTACTATTTGTTTTTCTCAACATAGCTTACCCATATCCTAATGGGTAAAAAGTGGTGAACAATAATTTCTGAATGAATAAATGAGTGCTTAACAATTAAAATGAATGTTTTTTAGCCTAATTTTTTCTTTAATTCATTTCATTCTTTCTAGAATAGTTATGGATTCCATTAGCTCTAATATATTTTATTCTGTGTTTTGCTTAGGCTGTATGAAAATACTGCTGAAACTTCCCAAGTAAAAGTAATTTTAGATTTTGTAATTTTTCTTCTCTTTTTGGTATGCATCCTACAAAGATGCCTTAAGAATACTCAGCTGACCTTCACAGTCTACCCATGGCATGTTTGGGTAATTTGCAAGTTTTAGATAGGCTCTGGACCTTGTTTTTCATGAGTAGGCTTTTATAAATCCTTGGGTTGGCAAAAATATAATTAATAAAATCTAATGGGTAAGAGCCACTTTATGTCTTTGTCAAGCCAGTGAAATTTTGTTTGTTGTACATGCATTGTAAAATTAAAATGCAGAAAATCATCTATAGAGATTTTCTTTAGAGGGAATGAATATGTTGTTTAAAATATGCTGCACAGCATATAAAACTTGGAGACAGTGATTTTAATTTCAAACAGAAAATTATCTATGAAGGTGCTGAAGAGTATTGCCTGTGTGCTTTCTTAAAGATCCATATAAGTAAAAACTTTGGTCTAATGTGCTTTTGCAAAAGCAAAAAAAATGACTTTCATAAATATATGTTTACCCAGTATTTTTAATTTGGCATTTCTACTAACACAAAAAGAGTGCTCCAGCTATCAGTTGTTTCTTCACCATTTTTTATTCACTGTTTAGAGGGACTGCTTTGGATTTGTAGTAACAATTTTATCTTTTTGTTTCCATTGG